>NC_000003.12:82737272-83040303 GCF_000001405.40 Homo sapiens | reverse complement strand
AAAAACAAAACAAAACAGAAACCGAAAAACAATGGGAAATAACATTTGAGATTTCACCCTAATTAAAAATGTAACTATAAACCAAAAAGTTTCTAAGACGGGTCCCAATAAATTAAGAAGTTTATGTTACCAAGGTGAAGGATCATGACCTTTGACACAGCCTCGGGAGGTGCTGAAAATATGTACCCAAGGTGGTTAAGTTACAGTTTGATTGTACACATTTTAGGGAGACAGAAGTTATGACAAAGACCTAGTAAGGAAAAGATATTGTCTACAGAATGCAAATTTTCCCCATAAGAAACAACTTTCCTGGGCCATTTCAAAATATACCAAGTGATCTATTTGGAGATAAAATACTTTGATTTCCTTTTAAGGCTTGTTGTCTGTCATGTGATGTTATACCAATATCTGGTTGGAGTTGGTATCTTATTGCTACAAAGCGTCTATTCTGTCAGTCCTATGATCTCTATTTCAGTGTTAATGCTCTGCAGTTATTCTAGAACTCCAAAGAAAGGAGAGAATAGTGAGGCATGTCTGGTGCCCCCCTTCCTGTCATGGCCTGAAGTAGTGTTTCAGGCTTCTTAGGGTCTTCTTGGCAGAGAGGAGAGTCCATTAAGTCAGTTGAGTACTTAAAATTCTATTTTTGGTTTACAGAACGATGTTTATTATGTTAAGTAATTCAGAACATTCCTGAGGGTAGTGGTCATGAATTTAACTTGATACCACCCAGCAGGGCTAGTTTTCTCCAGTCACAGTTGACTGCAGAGGTTTGGGTGTGAAATAATCAAGAGCTGCAATTTAGCAAAGGCAAAATTTCCAGGGAAATAGTAGGCAAGTGAGGAAGTATATGCATGGGAAAGACTGCAATGAGTTGGCTATAGAACAAGAGATGTAAAAGTGTTCCTATTTCTCCACATCCTCTCCAGCACCTGTTGTTTCCTGACTTTTTAATGATTGCCATTCTAACTGGTGTGAGATGATATCTCATAGTGGTTTTGATTTGCATTTCTCTGATGGCCAGTGATGATGAGCATTTCTTCATGTGTTTTTTGGCTGCATAAATGTCTTCTTTTGAGAAGTGTCTGTTCATGTCCTTTGCCCACTTTTTGATGGGGTTGTTTGTTTTTTTCTTGTAAATTTGTTTGAGTTCATTGTAGATTCTGGATATTAGCCCTTTGTCAGATGAGTAGGTTGCGAAAATTTTCTCCCATGTTGTAGGTTGCCTGTTCACTCTGATGGTAGTTTCTTTTGCTGTGCAGAAGCTCTTTAGTTTAATTAGATCCCATTTGTCAATTTTGGCTTTTGTTGCCATTGCTTTTGGTGTTTTGGACATGAAGTCCTTGCCCATGCCTATGTCCTGAATGGTAATGCCTAGGTTTTCTTCTAGGGTTTTTATGGTTTTAGGTCTAACGTTTAAATCTTTAATCCATCTTGAATTGATTTTTGTATAAGGTGTAAGGAAGGGATCCAGTTTCAGCTTTCTACATATGGCTAGCCAGTTTTCCCAGCACCATTTATTAAATAGGGAATCCTTTCCCCATTGCTTGTTTTTCTCAGGTTTGTCAAAGATCAGATAGTTGTAGATATGTGGCATTATTTCTGAGGGCTCTGTTCTGTTCCATTGATCTATATCTCTGTTTTGGTACCAGTACCATGCTGTTTTGGTTACTGTAGCCTTGTAGTATAGTTTGAAGTCAGGTAGTGTGATGCCTCCAGCTTTGTTCTTTTGGCTTAGGATTGACTTGGCGATGCGGGCTCTTTTTTGGTTCCATATGAACTTTAAAGTAGTTTTTTCCAATTCTGTGAAGAAAGTCATTGGTAGCTTGATGGGGATGGCACTGAATCTGTAAATTACCTTGGGCAGTATGGCCATTTTCACGATATTGATTCTTCCTACAGTGTGGCGATTCCTCAGGGATCTAGAACTAGAAATACCATTTGACCCAGCCATCCCATTACTGGGTATATACCCAAAGGACTATAAATCATGCTGCTATAAAGACACATGCACACGTATGTTTATTGCGGCACTATTCACAATAGCAAAGACTTGGAACCAACCCAAATGTCCAACAATGATAGACTGGATTAAGAAAATGTGGCACATATACACCATGGAATACTATGCAGCCATAAAAAATGATGAGTTCGTGTCCTTTGTAGGGACATGGATGAAATTGGAAACCATCATTCTCAGTAAACTATCGCAAGAACAAAAAACCAAACACCGCATATTCTCACTCATAGGTGGGAATTGAACAATGAGATCACATGGACACAGGAAGGGGAATATCACACTCTGGGGACTGTGGTGGGGTCGGGGGAGGGGGGTGGGATAGCATTGGGAGATATACCTAATGCTAGATGACACGTTAGTGGGTGCAGCGCACCAGCATGGCACATGTATACATATGTAACTAACCTGCACAATGTGCACATGTACCCTAAAACTTAGAGTATAATAAAAAAAAAAAAAAAAAAAAAAAAAAAGAACAAGAGATGTTAAGGGGACGAGGAAGCATGAAAAGTGGTAGGATCATTGTATTTTAATTCCAGGTGAAATAAAGGTGTGAATGAAGTCAAGGTACTAGAGGATGTGAGCTGGAAAAAAAAAAAAGATATAATTGTTAGAGAGTGGAGTACTTGAGATTGAGATTTTTGAGAGTGCTGCTGTTGGCATGAACAAAGGCTTGAAGATGGCCGTAAGAGATGATGATGAAGAAAGGCCAGAGGTGATTAAAGAGAGGAGGTTCAACAAAGTACAAGCAGATGATTGTAAGCTTTATCTTAATAGATGTTAAAGCAACCAGAAAATAAGACAATACATATATGTATTTGAAACCAACAGCATCTATACACTAGAATTGTTTTAATAATAAAAAATGATAAAATGATAAGAAATGAAATATCTATTAAACTAGATATATCTAATCTAAAAAGAATAAGCAAGTAGATAGAGAAAATGGATAATAGTAACAAGACTTATTGCTAAAATTAGAGAACTGTTATAGAATAATGATAGTTAGAATTACATTTTTCCCCATTTTGTATTATTTATGTATGTTTGGTATGTAACATTTTAGATGGTTTTTCTTAGTGAAAGAACAGTAAACTTATGGAATAATTTTGGCAATCCTTTAAATCAAATGAATAATTTGAGGTTAATTAGCATCTGAATAATATTGAGTCTACTGGAGGCTGAAACGTTGGATGGCCGTTGTTTCATTAGCAAATTAATAAGAATATTTTTACTTTAGGAAGGATATTAACTATTTAATTAGTTTTAAATACTGCCTTTACTGAATGTTCTTTTCAAAACAGTTTTTCTGTCCATATTAAGGATTTTCAATAAGAAAACAATGTGTCCTCTTACTTGAATATTTTAATTACTGCACATTAATATTTATACTGTTTGTATATTTTTTGGCCTACTTCTATTTTCCACTACTTCTAGGACAAATCTGAATAGGAGCTGTAAAAACAATCACCTTTTTTCCCCTACTTGATTTAATGAGTATGTTCCTATTGTTTTAAAAATCTATGATTTTTTGCCAATTCTGTATAAATGTGCATGTATAATACTAATGGTATATGTACTCAATCTAATATAATAAAAATGAATAGTAAATATTAATATATAACTTTTTCAAATACTGTTGGCAGTTATGCAGATGTGCATTGTTTTACTTTTCCTTGGTATGTTGTTACAAAATGTATTATTAATATGATTATTCACAATAATACAAGTTCTAGAATTAATCTGTCAGAAATATTTTTACCATAATGATGGTTACTATGTGTTAATGCTTTCTTAGAAATTGTGTTCAATATTCATAAATAAAATTATCTTTCTTAGTTTATTTTTGAGTGGTCAGAATTGAATAGGAGGGCAATTCATAATGGAAATCTATAAATTAATTAAACTATAAAGATTAAAATATTTCAAGCTTATTTTGTAGAAATAAATCTAATTGTTACTATTAGAAAGACCATACAGATCTACACACTGAAGAAGAAACCAGCAGAAGTTTTGTAACTTTTAAATTCTTTTCAATACAAGAGTGAAATGATGAGTGTAAGAAGGGATAAGATTTCATAACAGCCCACAGGTAACATATTTGCTTTACCAAGGAGACTCAATTTTACAATGATGATCTTTGAATGAGAACAAATATAAATGAATGAAGTAAACAATAACTCAAATAAAGCAGAAAATCACCTGAAACTCCACGTTGGAATAAGTTGTGTAGACATGAATAGAGGGTTTTGTGGTTTCAATTATGCATAAAAACACTGATTTAAGTATCTACTTTTGGAAGCTTATGGTAATACTCAAATATGTTTTTCCAATGAGTAGTTCAGTTTTGACTGTACTAAAAATCATTTAAGGTACTAATGGTAGTGGTGGCTGCTGCCATGACGTTGTCTACAGTAAGGGAGAAATGGCCCAGGCCCCACACTCTACAGAGCTGGCAGGAGCCTGGAACAGGTGGAAGCCTCATCCCCTTCTGAGTTGGAGGGGGAGGAGCCCCGCCTTCCTAGGTGCAGCTGCAGCTGCCCAGCCATTGCTGGGGACCCAAGCACCTTTCCACTCTTGGGGGGCCAGAATCACTCTTACCTCTGCAGGCTTAAAAGTGCCTGCTCCTGCTGCCTGGCCTCTCTCTGCTCCCGGTGTCCACCCCGATATTGGAGCAAAGTTGTGGCTGAGCCTGGCTGCTGTCATAACCCGGTCAGGTGTGCACTGGCTCAGGCAGCACTGACATGCCAGCCTCCTGCTGCCTTGGTCCCGTCTAGACTTTGGGCACCAAGGAGCATGGGGAGGAGGCCAAGGCAGGTTTGCGAGTAGATTGGCACAGGCCTGCAGGCATCCCATAGCACCAACAGCCTGGGCATTGGTATGGCAGGTTGATGGCAGCTGGAGGCAGACAGGCTTCTGGGTGGAAAAGGGTGGGTTCCCCCGATGAAGCCCCACCTTCAGGCCTGGGACAGCTTGAAGTACTGGGGCTGGGTTGCCAGCTCTGCTGACCAGAGTGAGAACTTATGGAACATTTTCTGGCTTGCCCATGGCCACCCATGGACCAATCAGCATTCAGTTCCTCTCCTTTGGAGCCCATACAATTCCCAGACTCAGTGAGATTTGGGGAGAAGTTGGGAAGACCTGCCTGTGGAGAGGAGCGACTCATTGCGGGTCTCCTCTCTGCTGAGAGCTGAGCAGTTGTTGAGATGACCCACTTGCAGTATGCCTTGTCCAGCCGCAGCCTTGCAGGGATCTGGTGCCCATGCCGGTACCTGGAGCAGCCTGCCCTGTGTCAGCCGGCGTGCCTGGCTGTATGCAGTGGTGGGACCCCACAATCACTCGCTCACACACCCCTCTCCGCTCTGCTCCTGGCTCGCCCTTGGCAGGCGTGGAATCCAGGCTGGTAGGGTGAACTAAGAGGGCCTCAGCCAAGAGGGCCTCAGCAAAACTCAGGCAAAGTCATTGCCAGCCATAGAGGTTTCTGGCTGGAAAAGCAACACCTCAAGGATCCTGTGACACTACCTTCCATTTTATCTTGCTTGTTTTACCCACTGCTATGATTATATTAAAAGAAAAGTAGGCTAAAAAGCAATTGTGTTCCATCTTCTTTGTAAAACGTCCTGCAAACTGGTATCTACTTGGTTTTCTCTACCTTTCAAATAGTCACAAATTTCAGAAATACTAGGGGAAGGAGGTAAAGATATACAGCATTAAAACATTCTTATTTTTTTTCTTTTCAACTTTTCTTTCTTATGCTAATTTATCTGTTTTCACATCAAGATTAGGCTAATCTTACAATGTTTGAAATAAAGCAGGTATTAGATCTACATTAGTTGAGTCCTACAGTAAGATTCTCTAATATAAAAATGGATTCTTTCAGAGCTAAGGAAGAATTTAAGGAAATAATACCTGTAAAGAATTAAAAACCATATCTATGAATTTCCATTTTATCTTCTCTTTATCTGTAATATTACCTGCAATCTCTTTAGCTTTTGGTGCTTTTTTATTCAATTCAGAAAAATATTTCTCCAGCCATCTGGCTTCTCTTTTTGCTTTTGTGTTGTATTCATATTGCTTTAATATTTCTTCCAACATAAATAATTTATTTTTAATAGTTTGTCTCTAATGATTCTATTCTTAAATTTTGTACTTATTTATGATTTGTTCAAATTTAAAATTAAGATTTCACCTCAAACATAGCTATATATACTTGTAATGTTTTCTTGAAGTAAATAGAACTGCAGCTACAGATTAGTTTCCTGCAAATATTGCTTCTTCAATTATTAAGCAGCAATATCTGAGATATAGACTGACAATTGACAGTGAGAAGTGCAAATGGTAAATTTATAATATATTTATTTTGAAAAAAATTTTTGATCTTTTTTCTTCTTGATTGTCCTTGATTTTCTAAATTCTAGAAGTGATTCTGATATTTTCTCTCTCTAGGAAATGATAAGCAAGCTTTCAATTCCCTTTACTATATCCCTTTCTGATAAGATACCTTGCATACTTTTTGTTTTCTTGAGCAAATCCTTACAGATATAGTATTTAAGTCATCTCATTTAGTTTACATCAATCTAATCACTTTCTTTAACCAAAGTACTTGTTGCTTAAAACACACATTTTCCCTTGTCTTTTTAAAGTGTGAAATAGCAAGGGATATTAACACATGATTGCCCTTGGAATAACAGGAAGGGACATGAACCCATCTAGACATGAAACAATCTAAACTGGCTTAAAGACAAAAAGGTTACCAAGCTAAAAAAATCACAAAATATATATACTCATCTGTCATTTAACTGATGTTAGAAAAACATCTCTGATGATCTAATGTACTTATGTATTTAATAAATATATTCCTTGCTACTGAATTACAATCATTTCTAAGGCACCCAGCTAAAAAACATCATCCTGGATAATGTAAATGAAAATAAACAAATATTAACCCAAGCTGGGCATAATGCCCAGAGAACTAGCTAAGCAAAAAATGGGCAATGAGCTCCAAAAAAGGAAAGCTAGAGAAAAAGGGAAATTATGAAATAGCTACAGGTATACACACAAAAATCTTCCCATTTTAATGATAAGCAAGAGGTATGTTTGCATGCTGTGGAGACCAGCAATTATTTACAAAATACTTTGCCTTGACTCAGTTTATAAACCTTTCATAAGATTGAAAGCCAAAGATTTAAAATACTATAAACTTAGGGAGATAAAGTTTCAATTTTACAATAACAAGTTTCTATTTTATAAATAGGATGTGTTCTATTTATAAAAGCAGAACACAGACCTTTATAGGGAGCCACAGCTAGCACTGCTAGCAACTAGTAGCAAAGAATATCACAGATAAATTTAATTTCCCTCTAGAATCTTAAAATATTGGGACAATCTTGTCATTGTTTTTCTTTTCTCACATACTTTGAGTGATACAAGCCTTAGTATCAGTGAAATGTCTTCCAGAAACCACTTGAGAACAGAGGTTAATTTGAAATGTAATATAAAGAGGGGAAATTACAAGAAAGAAACATAAAGCTACTCTTACTCATTCTACATGGAGTTGAACACATTTATATCAAAACCAATGTTTTTAACCTCAGCTACGTCACTAAAATCATGACAAATCTGATGTTATCCACAAACACAGGCTTTTTTGAAATAAGCTCTGACTTCAATATATTATTTGGTTAACAATATGCTAAAGAAAAGAAAAGGGGAGAAGAGGGATGAGAAGAGGGAAGAGGAGGGAGAAGGGAGAATGGACGAGTAAAAGGAAAACAAGGAAAAAAAGAAAGAATAAAGGAAGAAAGGAGGGAGGGGAGAGAAAGTAAAACAATCAAAAAACACATCAGACTTGAAATACTACATATAGCAAATAACCATAGGGCAGAAACTAGGACAGGACTATAGGGACCAATTTGCCAATAACCTCACTAGTGACTAGTGAAAGATAACCTGATTTATGATCATACAATTTTTAAACAAAATAGTCATAGCAGATGGAGGGCAAAATTATATCCATATATATGTGAAGCTGCTATAAGATTTTTTCAAATTAGAAAATTGGTATAGGTTATTGTGGTACGGTATAATGTTCGATCCTTGAAGATATGAACCTTAAGTAAACATCAAAGGACTTTATAGTAAATGTCGTGTGAATAATTTTAAAATGTATTGTTTTTATCCACTTTTGTTAGTAAAACAGTATTTTTAATAAAATTACATTCATTTTGTATTACATTTTCTGTAAAATATGTTAGACATTGTGATCTTCTAGGCCTCAGGAATAAGAACGAGTAAAAGTTCCAAAAATAAAAGCATCCCAACAAAATTGTGAAGTGTTTATAGGTGAGATTGTTTTAATGATACATTAACCATCTTGTATCAATTTTAGTAAAAGATGTTAAATTCCTTTGGATCTTCCAGGCTTTATCAGCATTTATTCCTCTAGGGATCTACAGACATAAGTGCTACACCAATATATGACTGTTCCCCTGTGGGAATATGCAGAATTAAAAATAATCTTTCTGGGATACCAGCAATCATTGAAAAAAACAATGAAGTACTAAGAATTCTTAAAAGAAATGAACATTATTTGAGAGAGTAATGAACAAAAATACCTTGCAGAAACCATTAATATAAGATAAAATACTTTTTCAAACAAATTTGGGCATTGCATAAACTTTTTAATACCAAAGTTATTTATTTATTCTTGTATCAAGTGGTAAATGTTTAAACATTTCAGGCACTGCTGAGTTTTCGATATTTCTTATTTTAACATTTGTTCTTAATTTAACTTTTTTTTAATTAAACTTTTATTTAGATACAGGTACATAAGCGCAGGTTTGTTACATGGGTATAATGCAGGTTGCTGAGGTTTGGGGTAGGGAAGCCATCACCCAGAGAGTGAGCAGAGTACCCAATCGGTGGTTTTTCCGTCCATTTCTTCTCTCTCCTTCTAACTTCTATAGTAGTCTACAGTATCTATAATCCCCATGTTTATGCCCATGTGTGTTCAATGTTTACCTCCCACTTATAAGTGAGAACGTGCAATTTGGTTTTCTGTCCCTGCGTCAATTTACTTCAGGTTATTGCCTCCAGTTACATCCATGTTGCTGCAAATAACATGATTTTGTTCTTTTACATGGCTGCACACTATTACATGGGGTATATGTACCACCTTTGGTTTACACAGTTCACCAGTGTTGGGCACCTAGGTTGATTCCATGTCTTTGTTATTGTGAATAGCACAGCAATGAATATATAAGTGCACGTGGATTTTTTTTTTTTTTTGGTAGGATGGTTTATTTTCCTTTGGTTATATACCCAGTAATGGGATTGCTGGATCAACTAGTAGTGCTGTTTTCAGTTATCTGAGAAATCTCCAAACTGCTTCCACAGTGGCCGAACTAATTTACATTCCCACCAACAGTTTATATATGTTTCTGTTTCTCTGTAGCGTTATCAGTATTTATTATTTATTTGACTTTTAGTAGTAGCCATTCTGACTGGTGTGAGATGGTAGCTCATTGTAGTTTTGATTTGTATCTCTGATGATTAGCGATGTTGAGCATTTTTTCATGGGTTTGTTGGCCACAGGTATGTCTTCTTTTGAGAAGTGTCTGTTCATGTTCTTTGCTAGTTTTTTAATGAGGTTATTTGTCTTTTGATAAGTTTCTTATCGATTTTGGATATTAGACCTTTGTCAGATGTATAACTTGTGAATATTTTATACCATTTTGTAAGTAGTCTATTTACTTAGGTCCCATTGGCTAGTTTTGTTTTTGTTGTAATTGCTTTTGGTGACTTAGCCAAAATTTTTTTGCCAAGGCTGATGTTGAGAAGGGTATTTTCTATGTTTCCTTCTAGGATTTTTATAGTTTAAGGTCTTACAGTTAAGTATTTAATCCATCTTTAGTTAATTTTTGTATATGGTTGAGTCCAGTTTCATTTCTCTGCATATGGCTAGCCAGTTATCCCAGCACCATGTATTGAATAGGGAGTCTTTCCCCATTGCTTGCTTTTGTTGGCCTATCAAAGATAAGATGGTTACAGGTGCACGTCTTTATTTCTAAGTTTTCTATTTTGTTTCATTGGTCTATGTGCCTGTTTTTGTGCAAGTACTGTGTGTTTGGGTTATGATAGCTTTATAATATAGTTTGAAGTCGGGTAGTGTGATGCCCCCAAATTTATTTGTGTTGCTTAGGATTGCTTTGGCTATTTGAACTCACTTTTAGTTCCATATGAATTTTAGAATAGTTTTTTTTTTCCTAATTCTTTGAAGAATATTCTTGGTAGTTGGACAATAATATTGTTGAATCTGTAAATGGCTTTGGGCAGGATCACCATTGTAATAATACAGATTCTTCCAATCCATGAACATGGAATGTTTTCCCATTTATTTGTGTTGTCTCTGATTTCCTTTATCAGCATTTTGCAGTTCTCCTTGTAGAGACCTTTCCCTCCTTGGTTAGCTGTATTCCTACGTATTTCATTTTCTTGTGGCTATTGTAAATAGGATTGTGTTCTAGATTTGGCTCTGAGCCTGGGCCTTATGGTCTACTAGTATTGGTAGTATAAATGTTATGCTACTGACTTTGTACGTTGATTTTGTATCCTGAAAATTTTTACCGACGTTGTTTAGCAGTTGTAGGAGGCTTTGGCAGAATCTTGAAAGTTTTTTAGGAATAAAATTATATAATCAGAAAACAGGTAGCTTAACTTCTTCTTTTCCTATTTGGATGCCTTTTTTTCTCTTTCTTTTGCCTGGTTGTTCTGGCTATGACTTCCAGTAGTATTAATATATTGAATAGAAGTGATGAGAGAGGGCATTCTTACCGTGTTCTAGTTTTTAAGGGAAATGGTTCCAGTTTTTGCCCATTCAGTATTATGTTGGCTGTGGGCTTATCATAGATGGTTCTTATTGTTTTATGTTCCTTTGATGCTTAATTTGTTGAGGGTTTTTTTTTTTTTTAATCGTGAAGCAATGGTGGATTTTACTAAAACCTTTTTCTGCATCTCTTGAGATGATCATATGGTTTTTGCTTTTAATTATGTTAATATTGTGAATCACATGCATTGATTTGCTTATGTTGAACAAGCTTTGCATCCCAGGAATACATACTAATTAATTGTGGTCTATTAACTTTTTAATGTGCTGTTATATTTGGTTTGGTTGTATTTTATTGAGGATGTTTGCGTCTATGTTCATCAGGGATGTTAGCATGATGTTTTCTTTCTTTCTTGTGTCTCTGCCAGATTTTGGTATTAGGCTGTTGTTGGCTTCATAGAATGAGTTAGGGAGGAGCCCCTCCTCCTTGATTTTTTGGAATAGTTCTAGCAGGATTGGTACCAGTTCTTCTGTGTATGTCTGATAGAATTTGACAGTGAATCCACCTGGTCCAGGCTTTTTTTCAGTTGATAGGCTTTTTTCATTTGTTTGTTGGTTTGTTTGTTTGTTTGTACCACTGATTCAATTTTAGAGCTCGATATTGGTCTATTCAGGGTTTCATTTTCCTCCTGATTCTATCTTGGGAGATTGTGTATTTCCAGGAGTTTATCTATTTCCACTAGATATTCTTATCTGTGTGCATAGAGTTGTTAATAGTATTCTCTCAGGATCTTTTGTATTTCTGTGGGATCTGTTGTAATGTCATCTTTGTCATTTCAGCTTGTACTTATTTGGATCTTCTTTTTTTTCTTTGTTAATCCAGCTAGAGGGTCTATCAATCTTGTTTAAATATTTTAGCTATTGTTATATTTTAATTTTTTTCTAAATAAAGTTTGTTGTAACTTATTTTTTGCATTAGTATTATGAAAATAACATACATTTAATGAATTAATAGTCATTCCAATTAAAATACATTTTTAGCATAGTTTTTCAGGTAAGTAGAAAAAAAAAACCCATGCCCAAATTTCTAATCTTATTTTTCCCCAGAAATTTCCTATGAAAATAAAGAACTAGATTTAGAAATTTACACAAATTTTATTCTTTATCAATTAAATGGTTATGTTCAAAATACATTCGAAATGTGTTCTCTAGAAAATAAATAAATCAGGTACTTATTCTACCTACTAAAGAGTCAATATGTTGGACTTGTTACAAGAGTGGGTGCCAATATCACATTTCCCAGCTTCAAATCTCACACTAAATTCAGCATGCTAGACACTGATAGGTGTTTTCTGACTTAATACCCACTCACAGGAACATTATATGACATGTATTATTATTATTCCTGTTTTGTGGATGAAGTAAACAAGTCTTAACACATGTAAATAACTTGCTTAAATTCCCATGGATGATAAATGGCAAGGCTATCAGTGGCTAGTATGCTGCTGGACTCAAGAAGAATTTAATTAACATTATTCATTCTCATAATCTGATTTTATAGTCATATTAGTTTCATTCTTTAAGTAATAATTCTTGAAACACTAGACATCTTAAAGAAAACATAAACTATAAAATTGGAAACCAATTGTGACCAACCATTTGAATCACTGGATATCTGTGAATCTGAGCAATCAGTTTATAGAACTTCCAATTTAAAATCATCTTCAGAAGTTTATCTACCATTACTAATAGTGCACACTGATGTATTCTTCAACATTTTCAAAACTAACATGATATTTTTCACACTATTTCTAAATTTAGAAGTGTTTTAAAAATATTTCATTCTATCTAAAATGCATAATTAGTGAAAAAAATTTTTTAAAGTTTAGAAATCTTTTACTTTCATATCAAATAATTGAATCCAGAAATGTGCATAAAATCACTGTCCTTTTCACCCCAAATTTTACTGCAGCCACATTAAATTTTTTATGATACTGATAGCACTATCAGAGTTCTAGCTTTATCTTTAATACAAATCAAAAGAGATTCCATGCAAGACTTTTTAAAAATCCTGTTTAAATTAGACTTAATCCTGCTTTAAATATCAAAGAAACCTAAGGATCTATTTTAAATTTGGATGTCAAAGTTTTCTGTGCTTTAGTTGCATTTTTTATTGCCTTTGCACATACAAAGTTTCCAACTGTGGATGTAACAAATTACCACAAATTTATTAGCTTACACATAAAAATTTATTACCCCACAATATTGGAGTTTAGAAATGAGTCTCACTGGGCTAAAACCAATGTGTCAACATGGGTGCTTCTATATTCTCTGGAAAAGAAAGTCTATTCTACCTTGTAGAAGATGTCTGATCCCTGGATTATGTAACCCTTCCATCTTCCAAGCCTGCATTGCACCTCTTGAACCTCTGCTCTGCCTTCCGTTTTGGCTCACCTCGAACTTTGACCCTCCTGCTTCTCTCTTTCGCTCATAAAGATATTAATGATTATTTGAGGCCCACTCAAAAAATCCAGAGTAATGTTCTCATCTCAAATTTCTTAATTAATCATATCTACAATGTCCCTTTTGTCATGTGAATTCATGTATTCACAGATATGGACACTTTCAGGGCCATTATTCTGTCTAATAGAGTAAACATTTATCATATTCACAAAGTCCAGTAACCTTAAGAATTGCTTTCCAGTTACTTAATTTTAAATTTGTAAATATTGTTAGGAAGTAACTTATGATGCTGATTCCTGAAAGATATATTTCCTTTATCTTTATGCTCTTATTTTAAACTAATTTATGTTTTGTTGTTCATACATAAAATAGATTTATTTTATCTTTTTTTAATTTTTTAAATCTATTTTATGTATGAACAAAATGGCTTCTTATTTCCTAACAAAAAGAGCTCCTTATAAGAAGTTTTAAAAATTAATATTATATTTATGAATTTAATATTTTGAACTCATTTCAAAGAGGCAAATTAATCAGCCAATTTCATTGGAAAATGAATATTCAGACCATCTTTTCAACTATTTTAAGTAAATTGGTTTATTTTATATTTTCTGAATTTTACCAGAGCTTTCTTCAAGTAGACATTCCCTGAGCTATCAGTCTTTTACATAATCCAGTTTTGACTTACACACCTTTTTTATAAAATAAAACATGTTTCATCATTTAAAAAGCATAATCCAGCCATGTATTTTGTGCACTAAGAAGGCTGATGTTGTTTGATATTCAGTAACTTATGTTCACAAATTTAAAAGAGGCCAGGATTCTGGGTCTGAACTGTGTGATATGTTGTGTCTAAATTGGGTATATATATATATGTATGTATATATGTATTAATTTTTATAATAATCAAAAATTCAGCTACTACATTCAACTATCATCACATTTTACTCAAGAAAGTCATGGTCATTATGTAAAAAAAAAAAAACCCAGAAATACAGAGGTTTATTCTAACATAAGTTTTGGATTATTATTGTTATTAAGATGATGAAAACATAATTAACTAAACTCATACATTGTTTCACAACTGAGATATGTTGTGAGGAATGCATCCTTAGGCAATTTTGTCATTAGGCAGACATCATGGGGTATGCTTACATCCTAGATTGTACTTACAAACCTAGATGGGATAGCCTAGGTAATATTACCTAGGTAATATGGAATAGCCTATTGCTCCTGGGCTATAAACCTGTACAGACTATTGCTGTAAAGAACACCATGGGTAATTGTAACACAATGGTAAGTACTTGTGTATATAAATATATCTAAACATAAAAAGGTATAATAAAATATGGTATAAAAGATAAAAATAATACACCTATATAGGGCACTTACCATGAATGGAGTTTGCAGGACTAGAAGTTGCTTTGGGGAAGTCAGTGAGTGAGTGGCGAGTCAATGCAGAGGCCTCAGATATTACCGTACAGCTCTGTAGACTTTATAAATATTATGCAATTGGGGTACCATCAATTTATTTAAAAATTTTCTTATTTAAAATTTTTTCTTCAATAATAATTTAAGCTTAATTTACTGTACCAGTTTTGCTTTAAAACTTTTTAAGTTTTTTAACTCTTTCACCCTTTAATATAACACTTAGCTTAAAACATAAACACATTGTCAGCAATACAAAAATATTTTCTTTCTTCATATTCTTATTCTATGTTATTTTATCTAGTTTTAAAATTTTAAATGTTTATTTTTAAACTTCTTATTAAAAATCAACACACACATTAGCTTTGGCCTACACAGGGTTAGTATCATCAATTTCATTGTCTTCCACCTCCACTTCTTGTCCCTCTGGAAGGTCTTCAGAAGCAATATCACACTTGAAGCTGTCACCTCCTATGATAACAATGCCTTCTTCTGAAATATCTCCTGAAGGACCTGCCTAGGGCTGTTATAACAGTTACTTTGTTTTAATTAGGAGGAAGAGTACACTCTAAAATAATGATATAAAGTAGTTTTTAGTAATACTAGGCAATAGGAAAATTTTCAGCTCCATTACAATTATATAGGCCACCTTTATATATGCAAGCCATTGTTGACCATAATGTCATTTTTTGGCACATGACTATATATGAGATGTACGGGATAACTAAAATAGAATAGAAACTTTAGTACCACGTGATAAAGAGATGCTCACATGAACAAGCAAGAGTGAGTAGGGGGGAAAGAACAATATCAAACAAATATACCATAAATGAAATGTTAGTTTTGATTGAGTTATGCCAAAGAGATCTGGGTCTTATTTACAGTGTGAAGTTCTATATTTGAAAGTTTCCTGTATCTATGTTGTTCTATAACAGCAAAAGTTAAACATATGTTCTTTAAATTACATAAATTATTCCATACATTCCTTGACAGTTTTATTGCATTGTATTTCTTGGTACAAGGCATTTTCTCCCAATTGGAAATTAAGGGACACAATTTCTTCCATTCCTACATCAAAGCTACAGTCTAATGTATTGTATAAATGCATTTTTATTTTTATTTTATTTTATTATTTTATTTTTGGATATAGGGTCTCATTGTGTCACTCAGGCTAGAGTGCAGTGTGATCATTAGCTCACTGCAGCCTCCTGGGTTCAAGGGATCTGCCTGCTTCAGCCTCCAAAGTAGTTAGGACTACAGCTGTGTGCCACCACATCTGGCTAATTTGTTTTTATTTTCTGTAAAGATGGAATCTCTATGTCCTGGCTGGTTTCAAGCTCCTGGCCCTAACTGTTCCTCCCATCTCAATAACCCCAAATATTGGGATTACAGGTGTGAACCACCATGCCTGACCTACAAATACATTTTAAATCCTATCACTGGACAATGTCATACCATGAAAGATATGGCCAAGGCAACGTTATATAGAAATACCTATTAAATTAACTCATAGCCATGGATATTGAAAGGACACTTAGCCATCCAAAGTGTGTCCCGAGTGCTGAACTACTCAGTGAGCAAGAATGGCGAAAACCTGGAGGGAAGATTTATTTCTGGACAATGTACTGGGGAATGCAGCCTGCACAAGCAGGATAGCCTGGGAGAAAACTTCATCTATTTTTTTCTCTGTTATCCACAGTCACTGAAAGAACTCTGACAAAAGTGTCACAGAGGCCTACTTCGATGACTCTCTTTTTGGCTGAATTCATTGTAATAAAGCCTTTCCAAATGTCCAGAGATTGAATTGTTTTGCTTGGTCTTCTCCAAACTATGAAATGGGCTAGAGTAATAATAAGTAGCTTATCTGGCATAATTCTTTACAGTTTCAGCCCTCCAAAGATCTGGAAGTTTGAAGCATTGATTATATTAGCTAGCTATTACTCTGTAACAAATCTTTCTATAACCGAGGGGCTGGTGTAAAACAGTATTTATTTCTATTTTTTTTATTGACCATGAGCCTGTGCTTTGGTCTAGAAACAGCTGAATTGAAATGTCTGGGCTGCTGTGCTTCATTCTGAATCTGGCCGGTCTGGCTCCCCATTAAGATGTGGCTTTGTGTCTGCTCCACGTGTAGTCATTCTGTGGCCAGGCCGAGGGAGTGGAAGCCAAACAGGGTAAGCTCCTTTCAAGGATATAGAAGATGCATAGGAGAAGTAAAACAAATGCAAGGACTCTAGAGGCTTGTCCTTCACAAAGGTACAGGTTCTAGTCCATATCATTCAATTGTCCAGAGTAAGTCAAAGGGCCACACCCAAATTGCAATGGTTAGGGCAGCACACCCTGTCCTTAATGGGAAGGCGTGGCAAGATTACACAGAATACATATGTAGAGTTGTTTTCCTGTTCCTTTTCATCCTGCCATTCTTTATGCTACATATCTGTAGGATTATTCCTCAACTGAAAATCTGGCTCTCTTATTCAAATTGTTTTTGTTTCTCTCTCACATTATTTGAACTTGTCAAATTGATATTAAATCTGAAAGCCTAATCTCTTCTGATATTTAAGTGACTAATTTTCTTTCCTTCCCAGGTTATTTCACTTTTACCAGAATTTATATATGTGTATCTTTGTTTATTGTCTATCAAATTATTTACTTGTTTGTTTATATTTGCTTTTAATGTTCAAAAATACAGCTCTATTGTATAGATACAGTTTCAGTGAATTTTTACTGCAGTTATCTGAAAAGGATGAGAAGAGGGGAAGGATATAAATAAAACACAAAAATTATATAAGAAAGTAAATATCTCAGGTAGGGCCAACAGCATGCATTCTTGTCCAGATCCCCTATTCCCTAGGAATTTGTTCAGAAAACATTCCTCGGCCTCCCTTTAAGTTGAGAATAATCATATGAAAATATTCTTGCCCAAGATAATTTTTAGAGTGATGGAGCTGGGACTGTGGTGGTAGATGTATGACTGTGGATTTGCAAAAACCCATAAAACTGTGTATCCAAAAGACTGAAGGTTTTTGTATGAAAATTAAACAAAAGGCAACCAAGGGATCAGGGGACACCAGGATAGAATGCAGACCATGACAGATGTCACAGATGAAGCTAACTATATTGCAAATGTGTGACTAAAAATGGTAGAGAAAAATGTGCTAAGTAACTGAAAGGCAGTGTTTTGAGTGAATATTATGGAACTGAGGACAAAAAGAACTATACACATACGCCGTACTCTAGTTGGGAAAATGTGTTTCTTACAAGGGTATGGATTTGCAATTCTAAAATGACATGTATTTTAAAGTTAAATAAAAAAGTAAATGTATTGTAGGGAATGAGATTCACATTTCTCACTGCCAGAGAAAGAAGTTACAAATAAGCAATAAGAGATGGTTAGAGAAGGAAGGCTAGCATGCAATTTTATACATATATATGCAAATGGTGTGTATATACACACATAAATATACAGATAAATTAGATACAGAAATAAGTACAGGTGTGTATGTAAATGAGTTAGTATAGATTCATATATTTTCTAGCTCTGTATGCTGAAAGAGCCTAGAGTCAGTGACAATCTAAGAACAATGAGCAGGCTGAAACATCAGATCCTAGTTTCAAATACCACTCGCTAATAAAGAACCAAGGTTCCTTGGAGAAATGTCTGATTTTTGAACCAGGAGTGAAACATAGAAAATAAGCTTAGTGAATGCCAGGAAGTAAGGGAGTGGGCAAAGGAAGAAGAAAGAGAAGAAGAATGGGGAGGAGGAGGAGGAGGAGAAGGAGGAGAAAGAAAAGAAGGAAAATGCATATCAAAAGAAAAGAGTCAATCTGAAAGAGTTACCAATGGGCAAACCTGGAATAACTTGAACAACAAAATAACAAAACTAGTAAAATATAATCCAAAGAGTAAAATAAATATTCATAAACCCTTGCTAATATATTATGGTTATTTTAAGTGTGGATATTCTTGGTCTGCAAGTTATATTGAAAAGGAACATTGTAAATTCTTCTTGTTACTATTGTTTTTGGAGAAAATGTACATTAGGGGAGAGAGTAGCTGCTGTAAGTAATTAAGGTGTGATTCTTCTGGGCCAAGATAGTGAATGTTGTTAAAGCTGAATGTGACATCTCTGTTCAATTATTTTAATAGCAAATACTATCTGTAAGTGTAACATTTTAAAATACTGTTCTTATCAACACAGACCTAAAATCATATGCATGGAACTTTTGCAAGTAGATTTATAAAGTAAAAATTTATGAAACATCCTGGCTTCCCCTCTCTTTTATCAGTATGTAGAGTGTGCCCCACCAGTGGCTGTTACACCTATGTACTTTCATGGACATCACGGAAAAAATATGTTTATGAGTTTTCTGCATACATTGATTCAAATCAAGGGCAAGATTTTGAGAGCTGCTAAGTAAATTATTTCAATTTGCCAAGAAAATTGATTTACAGTGAGACCCATGGCCAGAGAGATTTAACAGAACTACATTACACATGCTGAGAACTTTGCACTCTGAATGAAAGGGGCAATATAACAAACATTTTCTTTTCCTGATCCATGTCTAAAACGCCCTCGGGAATAATGACACCAATTTCTTTTTTATTTTACATTTTATTTAAAAGAGGTGATATAGACATGTGTCAAAAATTTATATCTATTTTTATTTTATATCTTTCTGAGAGAAATAAAGAGGAAGGATAAATTAAGAAAGAAAAATTTATACTATGGAAGACCTCACAACTGCCTTTCTCTATTTTCTGAGAAGAAATAAAAGCAAATTGCAAAAATATAAAATTATGACTCATAATAAAAATTTTAGATAAGTATCTTGGCCATTTCTTTACGCATATTTTTTTGAGGTAGGCAAAATAATAACTACCCCAAAACATTCACATCCTCATCTCCAAAACCTGTGAATGTGACATTACCTAGACAATATGCAGATGTGATTAACATTACAGACCTTGAGATGGGAAGGTATGAATTCACCAAGTGGGCCCAGTTTAATCACATCAGCTCTTTAAATTATAGATTCTTTTCTTCAGAGAGAGATTTGACAAAAGAAGAAGTATTTTTTAAAAATCTTATATGGAAAGGACTCAACCAGCCATTGGTGGCTTTGAAGATAGAAGAAGGGGCCCCAGCCAACAAATATGGTGGTTTCCAGAATCTGAAAAAGTCAAGGTAGCAGATTCTTCTTCTCAAGCATTCAGAAAGGAATGCAGCCTGTTGGCATCATGCTTTAGCCAAGTGAGACCGATGTCAGACTTCTGCCTTATAAGTCCATAAGATAATAAATCAATTTGTATTGTTTGTGTCGACAGCACAAAACTAATACATCTGGAAGAACTGAATCATCATATCGAGCTGACATTGACTCCTACAGGTTAATGCTTTCTCTTCTAGCTGTAGGTACCCTACAGACATCTAGGAATTTGGAGCAAAGCTATGCCATTTTCTGCAGGTAATTATTCTACCTTTGAGAAACAACTTTTAGCTAGTAACTGGAGACTAGGAGAGTAAATATGTGGCCGTGAATCAGTAAGTAGTGCAAATGCCCATGATACCTCTTCTTGCTGTTATACCTGGCTTTTTCTTCTCTACCTGAACCTACAGCTTCAAAGGGAACTGACTACAATCAAATGACGGAAGAAGATTATTTGAACCCATCTTATAAATGGCTTTGCATGATATAGTGACAGCACCAAAGAAGACAGCTCTAACCTTATACCATGGTGGCTTTAAGGATGATATTTAAGAGAAAGTTACCTCATGGGTAGATGTTTGTCCATTGTACCTGAAAATTTATATCTATACTTATTCATGGACACTGGTTAATTGCATGGCTGGATAATGAGGGAATTTGAAAGACGATTATCTAAAATTTATCGGGAAAATATGCGGTTAGGCTGCAAATTTTCTTTTAAAAGTGTGAATATATAGTACCCCAATGTATTTGTTGAATATTAGGTAACATGTGATTAGGCTGCAAAAAGGGTTAAAAAATGTGACTTTATGTGGCCCAGTATATTTGGTCAGTATTAGGTCAATGGTCAAGAAAAAAGTTTCCTCAGCAGTAGAAGACCTAGAAAAGCAGGTGAACCAGATGACTTACTCTGTGGACATCAATCCAACATTTTCCTAACCACCCCGCCCTTGTCCAGTGAGGAAAAACCACAGAGACGGAGGCACATGGGCTCAGTAATATGTACTTTAGTTTACTGAACAATCCTGCTACACTCACTGATAAACACCCATCACAACAATCTCATATAACCCTGCTTTCCAGGGAGATCAGCCAACCACTTGCAAGCAGCTTTACTACACTGAAGTAGTAGTATTGGTTTTGCTTTCCATAAGGATTGTTTAGCAGCAGTAACAAAATGAATTGGAGGTGAATAGAATTTTCAGAGGTGAAAACTGTAACAGATCTTACGTTTATCACCCTTTAACCATAAATCTTTTCTCTCACCACCACTTTTAGCTCCTCATTCACTCAAAAAATTTATTTTTCTTATTAAAATCAAAATGTGTACTTTTAATTCTAATTGACATGGTAGCTTGTGTTGATGCTTGCCTAAATTAGGTATTTATTGTTGACAGTTAAGAAGAATTGGTGTCAATTGTCTACCCATCCATATTTCCCTAGAATGCCACATTTATTTATCATTGAATTATTTTCCTTCATTCCTTCTATTCTTCTTTGAATATTTTAACAATGTAATAAATAATCAGCAGTTAAAGATGAAGGATCAAATTATATCCATCATCTGGATCTTTACAAAGTAAAGGAAATAAATCAAAATGGAGGAACAAGATACATGGAAATGGTAAGGCAGACATTAGAAGTATGAGTAGAAGAATAAAAAGAAAAAGTTAAAGAAGCCCACTTTGAACAATAAACAAAAGAGCAACCCAGCAGTAGGTGATGGTGAGAAAGACTTACTTGTGTTTAATTTAAATAAAACATTGATGAAAAATGGAAGGGGACTTACATGCAGAAACGTCTGTAGAAAGACAAGGATGGTGTATTATATTTCAAATATTGAATATTACACAGGCAAGGGCAAGGATTGATGAAACTATTTTCTTAGCATAGAGAGTAGTGAAATGAGTCTGACACCAATGACAGCTGAGTGTTAAATGACAAAGTATGAACAACTGCCATTCAAAGCATATTTCCTTGATACTTGAACCTCAGATGTGCTCCTTTAATTGAACAACAAATGACAAGACATGGTATTCATCTGCTCATGTACATATTCATAGGACAAATCATCAAGCTCATCAATTCCAGAATTTTCTGGGTTCCATAATAGATATATTTCTTTCGTTTCCTTTTTCATTTTCTTCTTTAATTTTTCTATTTTTTTGGATGGAAGAGGGATCCACTTATTATCAGGTTGGCACTTTAGCAGCTACTCATTAATAACTTCCCATCACAATGAAAAACTAATGTGAGGTATCATTGATTTTGACCTGCAATATTACAATAAATGGTTATCCTGGTAATACTAACATTGTCTACGATGGGTGCCTAGATGTTTTTAACAGACAAAGCAAGACGGTTTTTAAATTATTTAAATCAAGTTTTCAGGTTTTCTACAGAGAGAACAAGGACTTGTGAAAGCTCTTTCTTCGAAGAATATATTAGCTGAAATATTTCAAAGATTGCTTAGAAATTAAAGCAAGCATTATAATAGTTGTGTTTTGAAATACACACAACTATTATATTTTTATATAATTTTTTTGTATTTTTATATAATTGTATTTTTATATAATAATTTTGATGACTACATTTCAAAAGCCAAATTATAATGCAATATTCTATTTCTTGACCTGAGTAACAGTTGTATGGGAATTCAATTAACAATATTTAATTAGGCTATTCATCTATTTTAAAGATATTTCTGTATGTTTGTTCTATGATAGTTTAAAAATGGATAATCACATTATTTGCTGATGATATGCCAAAACTTAAATATATAAATTGCTTAAACTTCTTCATTATTCTTTAATCTATATATATAAATATAAATAAATTTACATAACAAAGTCCTTATATAATCATGACTAAAAGTCGGCAAAAATAAATTTGAAGAAACATGAGGAAGTGTACAAGTCTTTAAAAACTTTTTAACAGTGAAATGTTTTACCCTGTTAGTTTGGACTATTATATTTTGCAAATTGGTTGGTGAGAACAACTCATGTATTTAGATGTTTTGATATTTCATTTCTGAAAAATGAGAGAAAAGAACAAACAGAAAAACCAGAAATCAGTTATAAAGTCAGGTTGGATAGTCATGATAAGGAGTAAGCTGATGAATTGTAGTAATATTTTGGAGATGTAGAATAAGTAATAAAACAAACTTCAAAATGATAGTTCAAAATTCAGAGCTATGCATCCATGGTCCATTTCCCATACTATTTGATTTAAAAATTGAATGCTTAAGTAAATAATAACATCTACAATGTTTCTTTGTGTTATTTTCAAACTTTATAAAAATATAACCCCTCGATCCCCTCTACTTTTTCTTTAACACAATGATTCAAATTGCCCAACTTTGTAAGTTTAAGTTCTTGATCCTAAAGTGTCTTTAAAGAAGTGTGGATCACACAGTAGAAAAAGCGAGTGCGACTTTACTGTAACCACATATCTTAATACTCACAAATCATCATACCTACTTCAGCATTTTTCTTACATAGAAAGATGAATGTCACTGAAATTTGTTAATTCATGCTCATGTATATTGAAAACTTAGAAATGTTAATAAGTTGGGTTTTGATTCAGATTTTAAAAATATTTATCTTATATCTCTCATTATACCCTCAAAAAATAACATATTTCTAGAAAAGTCAAAATTTGAATTGTCCCAAAATACATATTAAAAGTCAATTTTCTAAACACTCTAGAGAGTTTACTATGAAATTTGAATAGTTTGTTACTTTAAAATCAGAAATGCTGGCTACCGGCCTGTAGAATATCACTCTCTCCCCCAGATTAGACACCACACAACATGAAGTATTGGATTCAGCCAGACTGAGTACATGATGAGACATTTTATCTGGAAGAATGAAGCCTAAATATTTTGTATGGAAGCACTGAGTATTCTCTAGAAGTCATCTTAAACAGTTTAATTATGACCAATATTATTCTCTGGGGCTAAAATTAAAAATGCAGTGGTTCAATGTGTGAATGTAGCCATTTTTAAATATATTTTTCTACCTAAGATAGATAAGCAAATTCCCAAACTGAAAAATTAGAAGTACGAAGGAAAATATTCTTCATATTCTCCCTTCTACACACACAACCAGTAACAGTAGGAAGTCACAATTATGCCTAAAATTGTAAAGATAAGAAACTTTTCTTGACTTTGAATAAAAATGCAAGGGAAAATAATATTAACAACAAAAACAATGATTTTTGAACACCGTATATTTATATTTTAAGTTAGAAATGTTTATTAATGAGCTACATTAATTTTCAACTTATGATTTTGTTTTGTTTTGTTTTCTACTCAGGTTCTATATACTCAAGAAATTAAAGTTTCTTTACTTCTTGTGTCATATGACCTTGACGGAGTAAAGCTACCTAATTTGTGAGGTTTTTTTCCAGAATATTAAACACACCAATAACAATAAATTCTAAGGGGGAAAGAGTCTAATCTGGATGTTAGTGGTGGGTTAAGATTAAGATTGCATGAGAGAGATTTTCCTGAAATAGAACAAATAATCCTTGTATCCTATAGTTGGGGACCCTGAGCCCTATTCTCAAGCAATACCATGACGATGGGCTAGGACTCAGAATTACTCTGCTATGCGTCAGCAACGTGAACCAGCTACAGATATTCCTGTGACCCAAGCCTGGCACAAAATACAGAGACAGTATTATTGAAGGAACTTGGGCAGTGATCAGAGGATCCTGTCAATCTAACAAG
Organism: Homo sapiens; assembly: GCF_000001405.40. NCBI lineage: Eukaryota > Metazoa > Chordata > Mammalia > Primates > Hominidae > Homo > Homo sapiens. The sequence continues at coordinate 83,015,631 of NC_000003.12, read as the reverse complement.
GTCATAGACCAAGAAACTTGGGAGGAGCCATGGGTGTACAGTTTGAGGCCTAATTTCCCTAAAAGCTGTATAAAAGGAGTTCAAAGCCAAAATTGCCATAGGTTCATGTGAAGGAAGTAAAGACAAGATCTTTCATTCACACCTAATTTTCTGGAGTGAGATTCAAGCACATACAGAAACGATGCCTCAGAAAAATAAAACACATACGAATCTAGCAGATGGCTAATGCCTCTGAATTGCCATGATTCTATGAGGCACACATGTTTAGAAATTTTTTTCTAACTTCAGAACACCTTTCTAAAAATTACTGTCTCAAAGTATGCTTGACATCATGAAAGTTCCCACACTCAGAAAATAAATCACAAGCAGCAATGATTTCCCTTAGTTGAGTTTTCTTTCATTCTTTTGAGATACAATGTGTTAATTTCAGGAACATTAAAAATTCACAATAATTCACAAATATTAATTTATAAACTTGTAGCTGTTTTCTGATGAAACTATATGATCAAATATAATAAAATACAGATTTTTCTGTATAAATTTGTTAAATATTTTCAAATTCAAGTGGCTTAAACATCAGAAATTTATTTTCTCACAGTTCTGGAGAATGAAAATCCAAGATCAATATGTTATCAGGGTTGGTATCTGGTGAGGCCTCCTGTTTAGCTTGCAGACAGTGCCTTCTTGCTGTGTCCTTGCAGAGTCTTTTCTCTTTGCATGCCGCAGACAGAGAGGAAGCTCTGATGTCTCTTCCTCTACTTATAGGGACATCAATTCTATCAGATTATGGCCACACCCTTAGAACTTCATTTTACCTTTATTACATCCTTAAAGGCGCTATCATCAGAAACAGAATCAATGGGGTTAGAGCTTTGTGTTAGTCAGGGTTCTCCGGAGAGACAAAACCAACTGGATGGATGGATAGATAGATAGATAGATAGATAGATAGATAGATAGATAGATACATACATACATACATACATACACAGACACACATACATACATACATATATACATACATATATACATACACATACATACATACATATATACATACATATATACATACACATACATACATACATATATACATACATACATAGATACAAAGGTAGATACATAGATAGATACATAGATGAGAGGGGCTTGATATTAGGGGAATTGACTCACATGATTATGGAGGCCAAGAAGTCCCATGACAGACTGTCTGCAAGATGGAGATCCTCAGATGCTGATAGTGTAGCTCAGTCAAGTCATAAAGGCACAGAACTGGAAAGCCTGATGGTGTATGTCTCAGTCCAAGGCAGAAGGTCTGAGGACCCTGGGGCTGCTGGTATAGCCCTAGAGTCCTAAGGCTAAAAAGCTTGGAGTTCTGATGTTCAAATGCAGAAAGAAAACAGTGTGTCCAAGTACAGGAAAGAAATAGGGGGGAAATATTTTTTTCTCTTTTTCTGTTCTATCTAGGCCCACAGCCAATTGGATAGTGCCTGTCCACACTGAGGTTGGATCTTCTCCACTCAGTCACCAATCTTATTGGTGGACTCCAAAATAATGCTTTACTGGTTCTCCTGGTGTTCCATAATCCAGTCAAGCTGACTCCTAAAAGTATTCACCAAAGCTTCAACATATGTTATTTGGGGTCCACAATTTAGCCCATAACAAATAATATTTTTTAAATTTAATCTTAAGTTTTAGTGTGCCAAAATACCTTTGATGAATAAACCACAGAACACGCTGGGCAAGTATCATACGCCCGTAATGTTTCATATAATTAAGCCTGCCTTAAATTTTTTATCACTTAATTATTTCAATCAAAATTGGGATTAAAATTGATTACTTACTATTATTACCTAAAATTGATTATTTATCCTTTCGCCGCTTTGAGATAAAACTTACTGAAACTTAACTACTCGTCAGTTATAAATGTCAGGGATCTGTCCTTTTTAATGCTGCAGTATGCTACTGATGATCACAGATTTTTGTTTTTCCAGTGGGTAGTGCTGTAGTGTAAAACATAAATATATTGTTAATATTTCTAATTTCACTGGCAGTTTGTGATTTAAAATAGTTCTTATAAAGGCTATTTGCTTTTACTTGGGCCATTATTTGAATTTTTACTACTATTAGATGAAATTCTCCTATTGGGTGTTATATCAACATGCAGAAAACAATATTAAGTTAATACAATTTATGGCATTTTTTAACTAATAATCTATTAAGTTCCCATGCATTGGCTTTCTTGTTGATTTTCACCTTAAATATATTCTTAAAAGTGCTTTGAATTAAAACACTTAAGTATACTTAAAAGTGCTTCGTATAAAAGCATACTTGGATTTAAATTGTGACTTTCATATTACTATTTGTGTGACTCTAAGCAATATTCTTACTTTTTCAGACATTCTACTCATCTATTCAACAGGGATGTGAATACTTCACAAGTCTGTAGTGATGCAATATTACCCATATACCTGTACAACAGGGGCACAGATCCTGGGGGCTGTGGACTCTGGGGACACATGATGTTTACCCCTGTAGCCACATGGCTGATTCTAGACCACGTTTGAGTTACTATAACCCCCAAACCCACTTACTAGGACTGCATAGGCCTCTTTTCCAGTCTTCCCTTTGATAAAGGTAAACCATCCTTTCAGTGTACATAACCCAGACTTTAGTGTCACAAAGAGGAGGATATTTTCAGAAGATACGGACACAGATTGCATGTGTGCTAAGGGTTGTCAACACACGCATGTGAGCCGCTTTATGATATGGGACACTCCCATGGAAAGAAAAAGGGAGAAAGGCAATGAGGTTTAGTTATCTTTCTGTCACCGTGTTCTGGTTCGGAAGTTCATGGATTCTCTGAACTTTACTTTTTAACTAGGTCTTCCAGATTGTTATAAAGATTGTCTATTTTTAACCTGTTTGCTTGATTTTGTCGGGGTTAGGAGATAGAATATATTTTATTTAGGAGTTTGTTGGCTTGATACATCACTTTTAAATATTTGCATATATTCGATGTAGCCTCTATTACTGCATTTGCTCTGGCTCCCACAAATGTTAGGGACAGGTCTAGAGTGATGATTAAGTTAGAATATGTATATAATTTGCTTATCAAAGTCTGAGCATTACTTCTCAGCCTTCTTTGCATTTCTCTTGCTTTAAACATGTTGATGATCAGAATTTAAACTTCCCACTCTTACCCTAAGACTTCCACTTTCTAATCCCAATACTTTAAATACAATGCATTGTCACTCCTTTGGATCATGTCACTCAGAGACATTTGAAGGATAGAATTAGGCACCATCAGCAATCACCATTATCAACAATGTCATTATCCACATCAATTAGATACTGCATGCTTTGTTTAACTTAGGCATAAGTGATATAAAGCATGGATATGACTTGAAAGCACTTATAATCTAATGAGAGGACAAAGAAAATACATATAAAAATAAATGGCACGACATTAGCTAGCATATATATGTAATAGAAATGTAAGAATGTGTTTTTTATCTTATATTAACTGACTTATAATCTGATTTCAATTGTCTAAGCTTTGTCCTTATCTAAATTCATGGATTACAACTTTACTTATCTCTGTCTTATAATTCAAAAGTACTATTATTCATAATACAGGGAAATGTTCATAAATTATTCATAATTGACAAATAAGTATTGCCTTAAATCCAGAATCAGCTAATAATTATTTTTGTTAACAAAGGACAGTTTGTGTGAGTTAGCCATGTATAATTCTCAAACCATGAGAAAAATCTAAAAGCTGATTGTATGATACTTCAAATACTGTAAATACTACAATCCATTTCCCTTATGAAGTTATAGAGTCAAAATTCAAACAATGAGGATCTAGGCCTGAACTTGGCAATTCTTCAAGGCTGTGACTCAGAATATATTACACGTCTTTATTACTATTACATTAAGCCACTGTAACTGCACGTGCACAATAGTTATGACTGGCTGTACCATATAGGTAGAACAGCTGGTTGCCTGGGGCAGCAAAATATTAGAAAAGTGAAGTGTTTTGTGGCTGTTTATTATGTGAATGATTACTCGCTAGGAGGAGGAGACATTTTTCATATTGCCTGGGGCAGTAAGAACCCTCGAATTGACATGAGTCTTGTTCTTCAGTAAGAGACACGAGGCATGCAATACATAAGTGAACATCTCAATTTGACACTAGCTGTTACTTTGTATACTAACTCTGGGTCTTACTGGGTTGATAAATGGCTTTTGAGTGGTTTAATTTTTTAGTCTAACCATGGATTACATTATTAGTTAACGTTACTGAAGAAAATATTCCACAATATAGGACTTCTATTTTGTCTCTACAGGGTCACATTCTTTAATAAGTTGACTCTCAGTGATGTCATCTTTCAAACTTTATTTTCATATACTGTATAACCTGAATGGCAGCATGAATTTTAAATACTCCCACAAAGTACCACACAAGGAATATGTTTGAGACACAATTTTATGCACCTTTTATGTAAAAATTAATTGTCATATTTATAATTCCTGTGAAGAATACCCAGACTTGCTTCTTATATGAATAATATGCTGACTCACAGGTGAAAAATCATTAGCATCAAGGCCTTCTTCAAAATGTAGGAAATAAATGCAAACAACTGTATTCTGCTTACTGCTTTGAAGATAAAATACCACTTTCCTAAAAAAAAAGATTGAATAAGAAATATTATTTGAAAATAGTTTACAATGAGAAGGAGATGTCTTTGTCCACCAAGTGAAATGCAAGAGAAATGTCAAATTCAGGCCATGGATATTTTTTGATGTAGAATAAATCCAAAACTTCAGAGGAAGGAGGTAAAACTTAAGTATAAAGTTCTCAAATTAAGTAACCTTGGAAAGTGTTGAGAAATTAAATTTGAAAAAAAAGTGCTAACTCCAAAAAATGTAGCTTCAATTTTAATTTATTACATATAATCACATTAAATGCCAATATTGTTGACCAAAAAACAACAACACAAAAATAAATTGTATTTTGAAAAAGATTTTTTTTGCACCCAGTAAAAATGAGCCAAGTGCTATGTTTGTGATAGGCACATGCAGAAGACATAAAATATGTATAGAAATACAGTCCTAATTATTTTTGTCAGCACCATACATGAAATGCTTTTACCTACCCAACATGAGTTATAATTAGAGAGAATAAAGTGTAAGTTGTTTCTCAAATATGCATTAGAAATATACAGAATTATGAGACTGACAATAGTTTATATAAATAGGTGAAATAATAAAAAGAAAAAAAATCAATTGAAATCCCTACAGTGACAGATGCTAGCCTGACTGTAGATTCTATTTCTGATAAGTACTATGATGGTGTTGATAGACAATCAATTTTGTCAGTCATCATGGAAGTGATTGCTGATGGATTTTATTGTCCTGGACTCAGGGCCATCATCTTGAAAAAAAACTTTTCACCAGATTGAAATTCTTGACTTGCAATCAAAGTTTTGGAAGCACAGAAGACTCCTGAAAGAACTGTCACTAAGAACAATTGCTACAGAATGATCTAAAGGATCAGGTGAAGGATTTGTGAAATGTTTACACAAGATGAAATGTCAGAGTTCTAAAAGTATTTATGTGTAGCTGAGAAACTTTGTTCCCAAAGTACTATTTATGTTTGTGTTGAGACAAATCAAAATTTGGAATGTAGTTTTTTCAGTATCTATCATTGAAATCAAACACTACTACAATAGATGAGGAGTTGTGCAGTAGTATGACATGTTAATAATTAATTGTTTAATAAATATCCTAGGGATTTGAGAGAAAAGTAATTATGGCATAATGTATACATGCAAATTGGCTAATAATCAAATTATGCAGAAACGACAGATAAATAAAAATCTAAATCACATAAACACATATTCCTGAAGCCCAGATAATGTGGCTTTACTGGATATTTTGGATGTAGATATGTATAAAATGTATTCCCTGCTCTTTAGTTGCTGATGTTCCATTTATAGATATTTAATAAAATACCTTCAATATCATATTATAAGTACTTGATAATTAACTGGGGCTATGTTTTAGAAATCTTAGATGAAAACCATGGTTAATTTACAGATTTCTGCTTCATATTTAAGAAATATTGCTTTAGCATACCTGTTATGGGACCAGAAATCAGCATTTTTTTTCAATCTGATCCAATTTCTTCCTGCAATAGTTCGCCAAACCCAAGGTTAAGGGTACAATCTTCCACAAGATTGTCTTCCACAAGATTGAGAGGGATCACCCTTATAGTACATGGTTGTGTGTGACAGTACACAAAGTATTATCAAGTGAGGATGCTCACTTAAGCTTCAGTGACCAGAATTCTTACAGGAATTTCATTACATAGGGATGATTGATTGAATTATCACTCACAGGGTTAAACTCAATCTCTAGGTTGGACTAATATCACATGGCTGAACGCTCCAAACCTATTTTATTATGGATTTTTTTTTTTTTTTTTTTTGGCGTGACCTGCCCCATCCTGAGTCACCTGTTTAGAATAAACTACCTGGGGCTTCACCAGGAGTCATCTACTTCAAATAAACCATCAGGGGTGATATAATTCCAGAGGCCCACCATGAATAATAAAGGCACACCTATCATATTGAAAATACTCAGGATTTGGAAGTTACAAGAACCAGAGACAAAGCCTAGTATAGTTCTTTATTTCAGAGTCCTCGAATTAAATTTTGGAAAGCAGATCCTTCATTATATGTATGGCATAAACTGAGGGATTAAGACTTTTCTTAGAAATGGCTTCAAAGGGCAATATTGAGATGCCTCTTGATTTACAAATAAGAACAGAGTAGCTATAGAAAACTTTCTATGAATTGAAAGTAGTTGGATGCCCTACAGTGTTTCTTTTTGTGAGGAGACTAGCAGGGAGCAGAGGAAGAATGGTGGATAAAATAGAAAGTTATGTAGGTCCCAATTTACGTACACTTCTGACCTAATAAAGATATAGGATTGAAGAATATGCTTATATAAAACTGCTTTAGAAGTTTCCATATGGTTGCCTTGAAAACAATCTCAGGCTATAAACTTTTATTCTTATAAAAGAATGCTAATTAATGGATTTTTCATTTTCATATTTCTCTTTTTTATTATACATATATATTGATAGTTATTTTCACAATAAGGCTCACAAAGGCTTAGATATTCCAAAAACATACAATGGGAATAGTTATTCCACAGTCTCCAAATTCTAAAATACTTTTTACCTTACAAATTTCTCAGAAAACAGAGATTTTTGAGCTTTTGCTGAAGCAGCATTAACAGATTTAAGGAAGATTTTAAACTGTGATACATATTTTGAAATATTAATCTCATGTGGAGTCAAAAGTGGACCAAATAATGTAAAAAGATAGAACAGGAAAAATAATGGGTACACATGGACAGGGGCAAGAGGTTAGAAAAATAAACAAAAATGGTAATAGGAGGACAGAGACAGAGTACGAGATAAATAGGCAGAGTTAGGGGGTTGCTAGGACTTACTGTTTGGGGAAGGAGAGGGAGATGGAAAATTTTGTATAATTTTCAGAGTTTTCGTATGTTTTGCTAAAAATACTAGAGAAATACATTTTGGGAATAATTCAGTTTTGGGGATGGTTCAGTTGTCACATCATCATATGGAGTTATTTGTGGGATATCAGAGTAGAGAAAGCAAGTAGAGCAGTAAAGTGCAGTAACAATAAATGGAGTCTCCAGGGTGAGACTGATTTCATATTGAATTCTGATTGCATTTATTTAATAGCTACATGGCTTAAGATAAGTTACCATTTCCCTCAAGCCTCCATTTCCTCATCTATAATGTTTGGATTGTAACACTAATTATTGGGTGAGTGTGGAAAAAAGTGAAATCATACATAGGAGACACAAAAAAAGTGAAATCATGCATAGCACAGTGAATTAATGCTCCAAAAGTCTACCTGTTCTATGATAGTGCAAGGAAGTGAATTTTTAAGAAGAGGATATGATAAACACTGTCAAATATATTGCACATTCAAAGTCTTTGAATTGGCCCTGGATTGGAATTTATAGTGAGATACATTTCAGGAAAATGACTTCTGAGGAATTTGTGTTGAAATCCTGTCTATATTATGTTGTAGTATGAGTAGATCAGATTAGAAAACTGCTGCATATATTATGTTGTAGTGTGAATAGATCAGATTAGAAAATTCTTGGGGCAAATGAATGCGCAGTGATTGCATCTACATGAAGAGTACCCATAGTATCTTTTATTATTTAATGTATATTTCTAATATAATAATAAAATCAGCATTTTTAAACCTCCAATGTTGAAGTTGATTCAAACAGGGAGCATCGATGAATACTAAAATATAATGAGTAAAAGACAACAGAAAAACAAGATATTTAGATGGTGTCAAATTGTTGCTGTATACATTATTAACTAATTAGAAAGTGAAAAAATGTACTGTTATATTGGAAGATTGGTGGTTACTATTTTACCAGATGACTAAACTCAGAATTACCAGCTGTGGGGCATACTGACATTATGTACTTTCTGGTTAATATGAAGTTTGAATCAGTTGGAAAATACCCTTGCCAAGACTAATTTAAGAAATAGTATGAGAAAAAACTTCAGAGAACTTCAAAGGATATAGTATTCTGCAAGACAATTGGCTCAGATTCTTAAAATGTCAGTGTAATTTAAAAGACAAGGAATGGAAATGTTCTAGATTAAAACAGACTACGGAGACAATGCAAAAAATGTAACTTATGAAGTTTGACTAAATACTGACTCAAGGGAAATGAACATTATAAAAACTATAGTGGAATAGTTGCTAAATTGTGAATATGAAATGGATATTACACAATATTGTATAATTATTTTAAATGATTTTAGGTGTGAAAATAACATGGTTGATGCATAGGAGAGTACTTTTAGTCATAGAGGGTGCACACTGAGATATTTAGGGGTGAGCTATCATGATTTGTCTAACCTAATTTTGAATAGTTCAGGAAAACAGAGAGGCAAAACAAATATGGGAAATAATAACAATTGTTGAATCTTTTCATTATAGTGATCATATAGTATTCATTTTACTATTTTTTATTACAAGTACCTGTGTTTTTGAAAAAATGGGAAAAATATCCATACCTCTGAAATCAATATCTGAATAATAAATTGTGCATTGTTAATCCAGAAGTATGGACTCATGGAAAGAGTTAGGACTGTAGTCATCAGTAAACTAATAACATTGTAAACCATGGGATGGATGAGGTCATTTAAGGAAAAATGATCGAGACTAAAACTGCTCATTCTTACATTCCTGACATTTATTTATTCCTGACATCTAGGAGAGGATGAGAAGTATCTCAGAAAAATCGGAGGAGAAGCAGAAAGTGAGTTAGAAGGACGTGGTGGTGGCATGTGAGACAAGAGAATAAAGTAAGGTCAAAGAACAGTAAAAGGAAATAAATTGTAGGATTTTGGAAAAGTATCCTACAAGTATAGCAGTTAAACATACCGTTAATAATTATCAACAAAATTATGAAGATCTACTGATTTACTGGGTTTGGTTTAAAGCTTCAGAAGCTATGTGTTACGCAAAATCTGCAAGTAATTCATATCTTCAGGGATATTTGGGAGGTGCTTTTTCTAAGACAAGATTTTTTGAAGTAGGTTACCTAAACCAGAAACAGCAGTATAAAATAGAAACTGTTAGAAATATATGTTCTTGGTCCGAGCCCACTCAATCAAAGATTCTGGAAGTTGAGCCCAATAGTCTCCAGATCTGTGGAGATTATTATTATAAAATCTGTGCTTTTATAAGTCTGAGAGGCAATTTTCATGGATGCTGAAATTTGAGTATTAATTAGTCCAAGATTTTTCAATTAAAAAGTATAAAAAGGTAGAATTTCAATTAACTTTTACAGACAGAAATTATTTAAATGTGAAGCAAAAGAAAAATGTGCATGTCTGCAATAATTGGCCAGAATTCCAGATGCCAAATTAGAAAACACACTGATTAGATAAATCCCATTCATCCCAGCTCAGTTTAATCTTTACATTTTCCAAAGTACTAAATAACGTGCAGTTTGCATTACATCTCTTGCATATAGTCTGTATTCCATCTGCCTGCACTGCCCTCATACCAACTCTCAAACACACACACACACACACACACACACACACTTTGTGAAACCTGTGGTAGTGTGCTGTCCTTCGTCCCTAACAGCATCTAGAAGCAAACATTTTAATTGATAATGGCTCCATAAGCCTATGAGCTATTTCAGGGTTGTGATATATCTTGTTCTCCAATGCCATCCTAGCACATAGCAGAAAGCCTAACACATAATGATGTTCAATACATCAATGATGAAAGAATGGAAACCACATAATTCAACAATAAAATGTACGCTGACATGTATGATAATTGTTTTTCATATCCATTAATTCATGCTCTCCAATGATTTCTGCATAAACTGAGGACTTTTAATTAGATGGAAGCTAAGTAACAATAACTTTATGTATTTCCTCAGTTGGCTATTTACCAAGGAAGTGTATAGGTAGACTGAAAGCTTTCAGCCTTTGATTGAGCCTCAGTCAAATATAGCGTAGCTTACACAGACTAAGAAAATTATTTAAGGAAACTGCAAGCATCAGCTTATCAAAGTTTGGGTTGTCCCTTGATTACCACGTTTCAGAGTCATGTGGTTGGCTCTGACTGGTGTCAAATAGTTTAGAGGCAGGAGAAAAGCTCATGCTAGAGCAGTAAGAACAAGGAAAGAGAGGATCAAATAAATATTCACTTTGTAAGTTGATCCCTTCTTATCTTTTCTGGGACCATTATTATATTTAAATAACAGTGATGGGTGTTGGTAGTGGGAGAGAGTTTGGAACGGAGAAGAGTTTTAGGGGTAACATGTTCGTTTTAGTGACTTGAAGGGACCAATTAATGACTCATTGATTCCAAAGAGAAAACTAAAATTTCTAGGACAGTAGGGCACCTTTCAAAATCTAATTTAAATTCATGTAGTTGAATTAATCTATTAAAGCAGTTTGTTCAGTTTGGAGAAGACTTGGAATCTTCACATTAAAGACGTGAATGACTTATATGGGAAGTGCCAGCTTTAAAATCGTATGCAATCATGAGACCAAACTCCTTGAATGACAGTGAACAAACAGTAATGTACAAAATAGTTTGACCTTCCTATCCTATTACTTTTGCACATGTGTAAAGGATTTTTTCTCCACTGACAACGACTTCCTCCTTAACCAAACTTCAGTCAATCTCCTCCGACCCCTCTTTCGTTCTAGCCGTTCATTGTCCTTAGCCTGCTGAGTTTTGTTTCAGCAGTTATCCTTCTAGGCGAGTTTAGGAGAATCCCTGCTACCTTTGATTGTTTTTTCTTCCCCTCACACTTGCATCTAATCAAGTTCCTCTTAGTAATTTTCCATCCACTGATGCTTTCATGCTGTAATTCTCTACACATCCCCCACTATCCCGGTGGTATTCAGTGTTGTGCATCTTCTATACTGAAGTCTCTCTCTTCCACAGCAGTAGCTCAAATAACCTGTCTTGCTGTGTTTTCACAGGTGTCCAGTGCAATTTCTCTTTATACCACTTATTTTGCTTTACATAATTTACTTTTTCTTTTTTAATCCACACAGATGAAATACCCTAGAAATATTTTATTTTAAATATCTGTTAATTTTAAGCTTTAAAGAGATTAATAAAATTGTTCCAGAATAAAGTTTAAGCAGGAAAGCATAGTTCCATGGTCCAGCTAGAGAGAATGAAGGGGTCTGTCAGTTACTCTCTCTAATTAATCTGGAAAGACATGGTGAAGAAAGTGCAGTAACAGGAGTCTTTTCAAGAGAGAGAAGAAAGACTGCATGAAATAGAGCAGATGGATACAGTGACTTAAAGTAACAGAACATTGCACATTGTTCTCTAAGATGGCCCCTACAGAAATGTCACAGTTACCCTGATCCAAAGCACGATTATCATTTGTAATTGGTTTTATCTATAAAAGAAAGTATTTTACTAATTCACTTCAACAGAAGAAATAAATTCAAAATTATTAATAAACTTGATTTTTAAATTGCTATGGCATAATTTTCAAATAAACTGAATAACTTGTATACCATGTTAAGGATAAAAAATCTTTTAAATTGTTTGCTTTACAATAAATTTCTTATCCCTTTCTGTTTTCTATTCTATTTTGGTTCTTCATTAAGATGTTTACCTTTTCTCTCTGTTCAGTTCTTTTTACTTTATAATTTTTCTTCTCAGTGCACCTGCCTCTCTACTTCCTTTTGTTAAACAAAACTTCAAACCACAAAAGAAGCTGCTGAAATGCAAATGGATATAATGTTCCAGGCAGGTGTTTTTATTTATCCTTCTAACTGAATAGAACATCCGAGAAGGGGAAAATAAATACCATCTTGTATCCTGCATACAGTGATGTTAGGTAATGTGTAATGTTATTTGTAATTTGAAAGAAATTGCCCAGCTATTTATGTAGAAAGTACTTTTGAAACTGTGGTAATTATGAAGCACGGGAGGTTTCACTAACCAGTACTTCATTACATAAGGCAGATTAACTACAGTATATTTAAAAAAGTTGTCAGAAATGTATCTGTGTAGTCATACTTACCCTCATGAGATAATAATGATTACTGAAAATGTTTACATTAGTGTTGCTGTCTAATTTCTCTATAGTTAGATGTCAATCTTCAGAACGTTGTGCTAAAGAACTTGATGTATGTGAGGATATGGTTAAAGTATTAGAAATATTATATTTTTAAATTATAAATTCAGATAATGTCAAAACTCATAAACACAAATCAAGATCAACTTCTATAATTAAAATTATTAAGAATTAGGACAAAATGTCTCATAGTATATTTCTTCACATACTATTATATTCTCCCTTCTGTCAGCGCATGCTGACCTGTTTGGTTGACTTTTTGTCTATTCTCACCACAAACATGGTACACTCTCTGAACAGTCATGGGCCTCCATTTCTATTCTTTCTTTATGTCTTATGCAGTCACCTTTATTTGTTTTATTGGCCTAGTTTACCATGCAATTGATTATTACTCCAGAATTTTAATCTCTGGCTCAAGCTTCTCCTTTCAGCTTTGATAATGTATATTCCATTTCATTCTTGATATATCCTCTCAGAAATTTTACAAACATCTCATCTTAACACATTCAAAACAAAATGTTTTGATACAATGTTTTCCGATAATCCTCTTCCTCTTCTATGTTTCCTGTCTCAGAAAAAAGAAGGGCATTAACTATTGATGGGTACAAAGTAGATGGATACATCATAAGTGTCTATTGAGGGGATGAATTAATGCATCGGATCTGATTCTTACTATATCCAAAAGCTAATTAACATGAAATCATTCCTAAAGAAAATGGTTTTATTGTTGCTAGGTAATAGGAAAGAAACATATTTTCTAGAGTCAGGTTGGTTTTTAGTTTCTATTTGTCCACATAAAGTAAACTCCTATGAGATACATCATTTAAAATGTTGAAGAATATTTATACTCTTTCTCTATGGTTTAATGCTTGTGTCTAAATCTTCTGGTTGCAGCATAAAATTTTAGGGAATGTTGTATGTTAGAAAACACTGATGAGAAATGATTTCCTATTAAGCCTTAGTGGAAAATGTATAGGTTTAGAATCAAATTAATCTTGCTTTGAATTTGTATTCACATTAGTAATTGTGTTATTGTGGACAAGTAACTGCGCTTCTAGACATCACTTTTCCTACTTCATAGATTGAAATAATAACTTCTATCTTATAGTTTAATTGGGAGATACCACAAACTTCAGTAAATAATTTTATAATATAAATATTATAATATTGCAATAAAATATAACAGAAGAGAGTATTTTTGGCAATGCAAATAGATGAACAACAACAATAACTTAAGGATAGAGAATCTCTAAGAATAACTGTCCTTTGCCATTAAAATTTGTTTCAAACTTTCTATTGACTTTACACTTTGAGTTATTAATGTAAATTGTGAAAATAATGTACCACATTCAACAGGACATATTTATAAGAAGCACAACATAGAGTGAGCCAAAATAATTCTAAAACATTTTTTAAAGTCATAATGGAAAGTGGAAAAGCAGAGTGGCTCTCTACCTCCAGTGACTGAGTGACCAGCAGGGCCTTAGATTTAAGATTTACTCATAGTACATTTCACAGTCTGCTCCTCCTCCAGAAACTTTCACCATGCAGATTGATTGAGAGACATGTAAATCATTTATGCAAACTACACAGGTAATCAGAATGTATCATACTAGTGTCACTGCACCCCTGCTGCTATGCTTAAGAAAAGAAAAATAGACTCCAATGGACTGACTTACACAAAGTTTCTCTGTTAAGGAAAAAAAAAAAGACATTTTAAATTTTATTTTGAGTTTTTAATTGCTTTGCTTTTGTTTTAATTTTAATTTTAATTTATCAATCTCTCTCTCTTTCTCTATCTCTTTCCTCTCTCTTTCCCTCTCTGTAAACTAGCTATCTGTATGACCATTTTCCATGCAAAGTATTTAAAAAAATAGACTACATTTCAAAACTGTCATGACCAGAAATATTATCCAGGAGAACGGAGTGAGAGATTTCCTTTTTAAACAAAACAAAACCTTGTGGGCAGCCCCAGGTATGTCACCAATCATTTATCCACTTGTCCATATATCTTTTGTTATATAAATATTTTTCACAGTTTGAATATCTTTTAGGCTCACAAATATATTTTCAGCAGATCATCAAATATCTGTTCCATTGAAAAAAGAAGTGATAGCTTCTTATAATAGGGACACTGCAGTCTCAATGACTATGCAGGAACTACTTTGCAGTACAAAAAGAGAAAAGCAAAGATTGACACCAATTATTATGCCTTTGGTATAAAAAACTTCAGGACAATTTGGAGAGTGCATGCATAGAGTGTATCTGAGGTTTCACATTTTAGCCATGTGTGCTGTAAACTGAGCAGGAAGGCACCAAAAAGTGTTTACTTACACTCCTGGAGAAAAAAATCTTGTAACTAAAGGAGCAGAGAAAACAAGAAAGCATCATTGTATCTGTTTCTTCAATCAATATAAGTGATTCCTTTTCATCTTGTTTGCACTCAAATCTTCTTTAAATCTAGTTGTCTAAAATCTGTACTTGTTCACACAGGCTCGGCCAGAGATACGTTTTAGGTCAATATTTTCATGTACATTTTTTCTCTCATAGATTCTCCCTTTCTCTTTTACCCCCAAGCCCCCCACCCACAACGTGCACACACACACACACACACACACACATGCACGCACAACCTTAGGTACACAGTCACACAAAGATATTGGACATGCTGGCAAAATCTCATCTAGTTTTAATGACTACAGAGAGATTCAGCTTTAAAAGTATGACTATGAAGTCTTCAGAGTTCCCTGCATAGATTGGGCCCTACTTCTCATATTCTGCTCTAGTCATTTATTTTAATAGATTTGGGATTTTAAAAAATAATAATGACATCAATGGAGCATTTCTCAACAGCTTAATAGAATCACATTTCCTCCATTTCACTTTTTTAGCAAATAGCTTAGACCTCATACCCATTTCTTGGGTTTTACCTGTTACTCATCCTAAGATATGCAAATAATTCTTTCTCCAAAAGCGGCTTTTCTGATTATGCTGCATTGCCAAAGGCAAAATAAAAAGAAAGGACTAAAGAAGTTAAAAGAAATTTAAACTAATTCTGGAACTTTTGCTCAGGTTGAAGTTTTTCAGTTTTCTCAAATTATTGAGATAGCTTAATTCTTTTCTCATGGGGGAAATGATTCAAGGAAGAATATTCTTAAAGAACTTAACTTTGGAATCAAAAAGTCTGGTTATGAGTACCTTTCCTAGGTTTTGACTCCAGGTTATGGGCTGCTCTAAAGCCTCAAAGATGGAGTGGAGTGAAATGTCAAACTCAAGAAGATTTTCAAAATCTCTACTCCGTTGAATTTTACTTTTTTTCTTGTGATATAAATATACATACTGTATAATTTGTCATTTAACCATTTTGAGTGCATAGTTCTGTGGGATTGAGTATATTTCCACTATTGTGCAATTATCACCAGCAGCCATTTTCAGAACTTTTTCATCTTCACAAAGTGAAACTCTGTACCTACTGAAAACTAAAACCCCATTCCATTCATCCCAGCCTCTGGCAACAGCCATTCTACTTTCTCTGTATATAAATTTCACTACTAGGTACCTTGTGTAAGTGAAGTGTGTCCTTCTGTGCCTGGCTTGTGTCCTTTTGTGCCTGGCTTATTTCATTTAGCACTTATTTCACTTAGCATAATGTTTTCAAGTTCCATCCACATTGTAGCACATGTCAAAATTTCTTTACTTTTAAGGCTGAATAATATTCCATTGTATGCGTATAGCCCAGTTTATTTCTCCTTTCATTTGCTCATGAATATTCATTTGATTTTTAATCTAATGTTGGAATTCTAAACTTGAAACCTTGCAAAATGTGTAGCCCTCCATTCTTCTACATGAGTTACATGCATATTGCATCAACTCTGAAGCATTTCTACCATTTAAAGGTCCAATGTTTGTAAAGATATAAGTAGATTACTAGAAATGCCTAGCTACCTTGATTTGTAATATGGATAATCAGAAATGTTATATACAAATCAATATGATTCACATGGCAGCAAATAATGTTTAATAAATAAAAACCTGCTTCTTAATATTATTCGGCAAATTACATTGACTTATCTCTCTTCCACAGGGATTTCCAATTTCCATATTGCACGTACACTTACACACTCTATTCAACTGTGTAAAAATTTCTAATAGATGATATGAGCTGCCTCATGAGTCAATCCAGGAGAACAGAGCACGAGGGTGGATATAAGCTAGTCTGGTAATTTCAGACCAACCTTAATAATTTGCTTAGTCTTTTTAAATGATACTTTCCTTTTAATCATAATAATCATTATTAATTGTTATTATTTATTATAAATAATAATATGATTAATATTATTAATGGCTATTATGAAAAGACAAAAAATAAATGCTGATGAGGTGTTGTAGAAAAGGGAATGCTTGCATACTTTTGATGGGAATATAAATCAGTTCAGCCTCTGTGTAAAGCAGTTTGGAGGTTTTTTTATTTTTAATTTTTGTAGGTACATATTAGAGGTATACATTTATAGGATGTATGGGATATTTTGATACAGGCCTACAATGTATAATAATTACATCAGGGTAAGTGAGGTAACAACCAATCCCCTCAAATATTTATTCTTTGTGTTACATACAATGTAATTATGCTCTTTTAGTTACTTTAAAAAGTACAATTAAGTTATTATACACTATAGTCACCCTGTTGTGCCATCAAATACCAGCTCTTATTTATTCCTTCTGACTATTTTTTATACTCCTTAACCATCTCAGCTCCAACCCCCAAAACCCCACCTCCACTCCCGTACCATACTTCAAAGCCTCTGGTAACCACCATTCTACTCTTTTTTCTTTTCTTTTCTTTTGTATTTTAAGTTCTGGGGTACATGTGCAGAATGTACACTTTTGTTACATAGGTATACATGTGCCATGGTGAGTTTGCTGCACCCATCAACTCGTCACCTATATTAGGTATTTCTCCTAATGCTATCCCTCCCCTAGCACCCCAACCCCCTACAGGCCCCAGTGTGTGATGTTCCCCTCCCTGTGTCCATGTGTTCTCATTGTTCAACTCCCACTTATGAGTGAGAACATGCAGTGTTTGGTTTTCTGTTCTTGTGATAGTTTGCTGAAAATGATGGTTTCCAGCTTCATCCAAGTCCCTGAAAAGGACATGAACTCATCCTTTTTTATGGCTGCATAGTATTCCATAGTGTATATGTGCCTAATTTTCTTTATTCAGTTTGTGATTGGTGGACATTTGGGTTGGTTCCAAGTCTTTGCTATTGTGAATAGTGCCACAATAAACATACATGTATCTGTGTCTTTATAGTAGAGTAACTTATAATCCCTTGGGTATATTACCCATTAATGGGATTGCTGGGTCAAATGGTATTTCCAGTTTCAGATCCTTGAGGAATCCCCACACTGTCTTCCACAATGGTTGAACTAATTTACACTCCCACCAACAGTGTAAAAGCATTCCTATTTCTCCACATCCTCTCCAGCATCTGTTGTTTCCTGACTTTTTAATGATCAGCATTCTAACTGGCGTGAGATGGTATCTCACTGTGGTTTTGATTTGCGTTCCTCTAATGACCAGTGATGACGAGCATTTTTTCATATGATTGTTGTCTGCATAAATGTCTTCTTTTGAAAAGTGCTAGTTCTTCTCCTTTGCCCACTTTTTGATAGGTTTTTTTTTTTGTAAATTTGTTTAAGTTCTTTGTAGATTCTGGATATTAGCCCTTTGTCAGATGGATATATTGCAATTTTTTTTTCCATTCGGTATGTTGCTTGTTCATTCTGATGATAGTTTCTTTTGCTGTGCAGAAGCTCTTTAGTTTAATTCTATCCCATTTGTCAATTTTGGCTTTTATTTCCATTGTTTTTGTTGTTTTAGACATGAAGTCTTTGCACATATGTATGTCCTGAATGGTATTGCTTAGGTTTTCTTCTAGGATTTTTATGGTTTAAGTATTATGTTTAAGTCTTTAATCCACCTTGAGTTGATTTTTGTATAAAATATAAGGAAGGGGTCCAGTTTCAGTTTTCTGCAAATGGCTAGCCAGTTTTCCCAACACCATTTATTAAATAGGGAACCCTTTCCCCATTGCTTGTTTTTGTCAGGTTTATCAAAGATCAGATGGTTGCAGATGTGTGTCATTATTTCTGAGGCCTCTGTTTTGTTCCATTGATCTATATATCTGTTTTGGTACCAGCACCATGCTGTTTTGGTTGCTGTAGCCTTGTAGTATAGTTTGAGGTTAGCTAGCGTGATGCTTCCAGCTTTGTTCTTTTTGTTTAGGATTGTCTTGGCTATGTGGGCTCTTTTTTGGTTCCATATGAAGTTTAAAGTAGTTTTTTTTCCAATTCTGTGCTGAAAGTCAATGGTAGCTTGATGGGGATAGCATTGAATCTACTAATAACTTTGGGCAGTATGGCCATTTTCATGATATTTATTCTTCCTATCCATGAGCATGGAATGTTTTTCCATTTGTTTGTGTCCTCTCTTATTTCCTTGAACAGTGGTTTGTATTCAAATTGGAAGAGAGGAAGTCAAATTGTCTCTGTTTGCAGATGACATGATCGCATATTTAGAAAACCCCATTGTCTCAGCCCCAAATCTCCTTTAGCTGATAAGCAACTTCAGCAACGTCTCAGGAAACAAAATCAATGTGCAAAAATCACAAGCATTCCTATACACCAATTACAGACAGAGAGCCAAATAATGAGTGAACTCCCATTCACAATTGCTGCTAAGAGAATAAAATACCTAGGAATACAACTTACAAGGGATGTAAAGGAACTCTTCAGGGAGAACTACAAACCACCATTCTCTTCTTCATCTTCATCTGTTCAATTGTTTGAAATTTTCGCTCCCACAAATAAGTAAGAGCATGCAAAGTGTGTCTTTCTGTGCCTGGCTTATTTCTTTTAACATAATGGCTTCCAGTTTCATCCATGTTGTTGCAAATAACAGGATCTCACTTTTAATGGCTGAATAGTATTCCATTATGTACATGTACCACATTTTCGTTATCCATTTTTTTGTTGATGGACACTTAGGTTGCTTCCAAATCTTGACTATTGTGAGTAGTGTTGCAAAAAAAAAAATGGAGTGCAGATACCTCTTTGATAAAATGATTTCCTTTCTTTTTGGTGTATATCTGGTAGTGGGATTCCTGGAGCTTATGGTAACTCTAATTTTAGTTTTTTGGGAAACTGCTAACTGTTCTCCATAGTGGTTTTATTAACTTATATTTCCACCAACTGTGTACACGTGTTTCCTTTTCTCCACATTCTCGCCAGTATTTGTTATTGCCTGTTTTTTTTTTTTTTTTTTTTTTTTGGATAAAAGCCATTTTAACTGCTGTGAGATGATATCTCACTGTATGTTAATTTATATTTTTCTTATGATCAATGATGTTGAGGACATTGTCACTTATATGTCATCTTTTGAGAAATGTCAATCCAGATCCTTTTCTTATTTTTTAATTAGATTATTAGTTTTGTTTTCCTACAGAGTTGTTTGAGTTCTTTATATGTTCTGATTATTAATAACTTTTTAGATAAACAATTTGCAAATATTTTCTCCCAATCTATGGGTTGTCTCTTCACTTTGTTGAATATTTCCCATGCTGTGCAGATGTTTATTACCTTGAGGCGATCCCATGTGTTCATTTCTGCTTTGATTGCCTGTGCTTGTGGAATTTTATGCAAAAAATCTTCGTCCACTTCAATGTCCTGGAGAGTTTCCCCAATGTTTTCTCTTAGTAATTTCATAATTCGCGATTTTATACTTAAGTCTTTAACCCATTTTGATTTGGTTTTTGTATATATTAAGAGATAGGGATCTAGTTTCATTCTTCTGCATATGGATATCCATTTTTCCCAGGTCCATTTATTGAGGAGACTATGTTTTGCCTAGTGTATTTTCTTGGTGCCTTTGTAAACAATGAGTTCACTGTAGGTTTGTGGATTTGTTTCTGGGTTCTCTATTTTTGTTCCATTGGTCTATGTGTCTATGTGTCTCTTTTTATGCCAGTATTCTGCTGCTTTAGTTACTATAGCTCTATAGTACAATATGAAATCAGATAATGTGATTTCCAGTTTTGCTCTTTTTGCTTAGAATAGCTTTTGCTATTATTGGTCTTTTGTCATTCTATATGAATTCTAGAACTTTTTTTATTTCTATGAAAAATGTCATTAGTATTTTGATAGAGATTACATTGAACCTATAGGTTGCTTTGGGTATTATGCACATTTTAACCTCATTGATGCTTCCAGTCCATGAACATGGAATATCTTTCCATTTTCTTGTGTCTCCTCTTCAATTTCTTTCATCTGTGTTTCATAGTTTTCATTGAAGAGATCTTTCACTTCTTTGGTAAATTTCTAGGTATTTTATTTTTATTTGTGGCTATTATAAATGGGATTACCTTTTTATTTCTTTTTCAGATTGTTAATTTTTGTAGATACATATAATATATATAATGTGTGTGTGTGTATATATATATATATATATGATGTATGGGATATTTTGATACAGGCCTACAATGTATAATAATCACATTAGCGTAAATGAGGTACCCATCCCCTGAAGTATTTATTCTTTGTGTTACTGTTGGCATGTAGAAATACTACTGATTTTTGTATGCTGATCTTGTATTCTGAAACTTCATTGAATTTGTTTTATTAGTTCTAATAGTTTTTTTGGTGGAGTCTTTAGTATTTTCCCAATATAAGGTTATATATATATATCTCATCTGGAATAAAAGGATAATTTGACTCATTTCTTTTAAAATTAGATGCCCTTGATTTATTTCTCTCATCTGATTTATCTGGCTAAAACTTTGAATATAATATTGAATAACAGTGTTGAAAGTGGACATCCTTGTCATTTCCCAATATTAAAGGATAGGGTTTTAGTTTTTCCCCATTCAGTATGATACTAGCTATGGGTCTGTCATATATGGTTTCTATTATGTTCAGTTATGTTCCTTCTATACTCAGTTTTTTTGCAGGTTTATATCATGAAAGTGTGTTGAATTTTATCAAATGCTTTTCAGCATCAATTTAAATCATCATGAGGTTTTGGTCCTTCATCCTGTTGATATGATATATAATATTGATTGATTTATGTATGTTGAGCCATCTGTGTATTTCTGTGTAAATCCCATTTGATCATGATGAATGATATTTTTAATGTACTGTTGAATTCAGCTTGGTAGTATTTTGTTGAAGGTATTTGCATCAACGTTTATCAAAGATATTGGCCTACTGTTTTCTCTTTTTATTGATGTGTCTTTGTCTTGTTTAGTATCAGGGTAATACTGGCCTTGTAGAATGAGTTTGGAAGTATTTCCTCTGCTTGTCTTTTCTGAAATAGTTTGAGTAGGTTTGTTATTAGTTCTTTCTTAAGTGTTGGATAAAATTCAACAATAAAGCTATTGGGGCCTGGACTTTTCTTTACTGGGAGATGTTTTACTACAGCTTCAATTACATTACTTGTTATTTGTCGGTTCAGGTTGTGAATTTCCTCATGGTTCTATCTTGTTAGGTTGTAAGTGTCTATGAATGTATAGATTTCTTCCAGATTTTCCAATTTTGTGGCGTATAGTTGCTCATAATATCCTCTAATAAGCCTTAAAATTTCTGCAATATTGCTTATAATGTCTCCTTTTTTGTCTCTGATTTTATTGATTTTAGTCTTTTTCTCAGTGTGGCTAAAGGTTTGTCAGTTTTGTTCATATTTTCAAAACACCAATTTTTCATTTTGTTGATCTTTTGTATTGTTTTCTTTATTTCAATTTCATTTATTTTTGCTCTGCTGTTTATTATTTATTGCCTTCTACTATTTTGGGGTTTGGTTTGCTCTTGCTTCTCTAATTCTTTAAGATGAAACATTAGGTTGTTTATTTGAATTTTTAAATTTTGTTTGTTGATGTAGGCATTTGTAGCTATAAACTTTCCTCTTGATACTGCTATATTTATACTATAAACTTTCCTCTTGTTACAAAACATATCCCATATGTTTTGATATGTTTCCTTAGCATTTGTTTCAAGAATGTTTTCCATTTCCTTCTCAGTCTCTTAATTGAACCACTGGTCATTTCACAGAAGAGTGTTTGATTTCCATGTATTTGTACAGTTTTCAAAATTCCTCTTATTGATTTCTAGTTTTATTCCATTGTGGTCAGAGAAGATACTTGATATCATTTTAATTGTTTTGAATGTTTTCAGACTTGTTTTGTGGTCTAACATACAATCTATCCATGAGAAAGACTCATATGCTAAGGAGAATAATGTGTATTCTGCAGCTGTTTGATAAAATGTTCTGTAAATATCCACTAGGTCCATTTGGCCTAAACTGCAGATTAAATCTGATGCTTTCTTGTTGATTTTTCTATCTGGATGATATGTCCAGTACTGAAAGTGGGATGTTGGAGTCTCCAGTTATTATTGTATTGCGGTATATCTCTGGATGGAATCAGCATAGATGCCCATCAATAGTGGACTGGATACAGAAAATGCGGTACATATACACTATGGAATACCATGCAACTGATAGAAAGAATGAAATCAAGTCCTTGGCAGCAACATGGATGCAGCTAGAAGTCATTATCCTAAGTAACTTAAAGCAGGAACAGTAAACCCAATACCACATGTTCTCACTTATAAGTAGGAGCTAAATACTGGTTACGTAGAGACATAAAGATGAGAACAAGAGACTCTGGGAACTATTACAGGGGACACAGTAGGAGGGAGACAAAGGCTGAAAAACTATGTTTTGGGTACTATGCTTATTTCCTGGGTGACAAGATTATTTGTACCCTAACCTCAGCATCATGCAATATACCTAGGTAACAAACCTGCACATGTACCCCCTGAATCTAAAATAAAAGTTGAAATTATTCATAAAATCATGGAAAAATAAATAAATAAATAAATAAATAAATAGAATACTGTCTTTTGAGTTCAAATTGTACCTTTTGTATTTCCCTCTTTTCCGTTCTCTCCTTTCCAGATGTTGACAGAGTATCAAACAGCTGAAGCAATTCTGATGGCGGTAGGGAAGATTCTTTAGTGATCCAAACAGAAAAGTAGGCAAAGGAATCCAATTAACCTATTTATCAATCTTTAAGCTATAGAGAGGATATCAAGATACATACTGTTGTTTATTTGTTCATCCAAATTACTCAACTCTTCCATCCCACACTTTCTGGTTGGAAGAAATGTAAGGTTTTCGTTTCAGAAAATGATATAGTATTATCAAAAATTATCCCCAGTACCATTTAAAGTAAGTTATATTAATATTAATAGACTATTCAAATATGTATAAAGGTAAGTATACACCAGACCAGGTAGTAACATGGAAACAAATCTGCGTGGTGACATATTTGCAAATTTTAAGGATAATGCTTATCTGACCCTATTAAGACTGTAACGTTGAAATTTTAAAAGCAAATAGATACAACCTGTGTTTAGACATTTTAAATTGCAGGAGTGAATTACAGAAATAAAGTATTATAATACTCATATTTTTCTACAATCTAAACAAAGCACATAGCCTTTTTTATAAATTGCTATTTGTTACTAGAAAGTAAACATCCTGTATCTTAAAAATAAATAAAACAAAATCAGGCAAATTGTGATATATTTTGACACCTAAAATGCCTCTAACAGTTAATTATTTATTTAACCTAAGAAATTATATTTGGATAGATCTAACACTTCTCTGAGGATAAAAGCCATCATCATCATCCAACTAGGCTTCAGGATAAAGGAGCTTTATGTTCTCAAATGTAATGAATTACATCAGAAAAATGGAGGAAAAAACTATAACCATACATTTTAAATGATTCTTGCCTTAAGAAGATACAATGATTAAACATAAAAATTTTTTTTCAGAATCTTTCTAAACAAATAAAACCTTTTTGTAATTCAAGCCAAGACTACTTGTTTTATTTGAATTTTCCATTGCAGGCACCACAAGTGAAATCCAAAATGTATATAAAATATAGATAACTGGCAATCACCTTGAATTTTTCAAGTCAGATAACTATTTTTTTAATTTGATGGCATTTTTATTTAATTGTTCTGAGTACAGAAAACCCAATACCACATTTTCTCACTTATAAGTAGGAGCTAAACATTGCCCTTAAAGCAAACTAGATTTACTTAATTGGATTGAGTTGTATCTTTTTTTTTTTGCTTTTGTTCAACACTTAATGTTTAAAGAATATTCTAAGCTACTTGTGTAACTCATCTTCTAATTCATTTGTTAAAATGAATTTTATAAAGATGTGCTCCACACTGTACCTAGAGGCAGCTACAATGGACTTTTGCTGTATATAATCTTAAAAAGAAAGAGCTTCAAGCATATTGCTGATGGGATAACATTCCTATTATCACAAATGAGCAATACTGAATTAAAGAAGCCCTTCATTACAGACACTTTAAGAAAAAATGAACACACAAACAAACAAAACACATTCCCTTGCAGATATTTTAAAGGAAGAATATGCCAGCATTCAAATTTGTATGGTAGTATCCCACTTTTGCACTTTTCAGAAGAAAAAAAGTCTAAAGGCTATGAAATTTATTTTTTCTTTAAGTGAAGCTTTCTGCTAGATAGAATTGACTTCAATTGAAATAAATACAGATTACAGAAGATATGTGGTAGCTCAAAACATAAAATTATTATGTGTTAGCTTGCCTTATTAAAACATATTGCTATAAATTAAAAATCTCCTCTGTGTTCCAAATTCATTCAATGAATACTTAATATCTGCTGAAATTAATAAGTTACCCTCCTTCTAAGTATTTTAAATCATTAGCCTATACCTGTCTGGTGACTTGAGTAGACACTGATGATACTACATGTTATGGTGGAATATATAGGATTTGCCCAAGTGTAACAAGTATTGATTTTTTTAACCTGGGAAGTGCTTCAATATACACATTTACAAGTCCTAGCTGCAATCCCAAACCTGAGGTGATCATGTATTAGAAAACGGTTTAAATTGGAAAAAGGTAAAGAAAGAAAATTTGTCTTGGACAGCAGGTCATTAGGCAATACTAGGTAGGATATTAAAATTAATACAAAATGAATATAGATGTTGATTATTTTGTTTATTTATTTACAAATTTATCTGTTTCAGAAATACTCCTATGTGGTAACTTATTCAATAATCTCAGTTCCCACAAGTGAGTGGAAAGGTGAGAGCTTGTAGTTTGCAAGTCAATTTGTTGATGTTTTTCACCTCTTCAGAAGTGGCTGATCCTTGTAGATACAGCTTTTCCAACAGCCTTCTCAGGTAAAGGGCATTATTTTTAAATACACTTTGCATGTTAGGCTTAGATGATTATTTCAGTGACCTCACGGCTACCTAGTGACATTTCCAGATAATCTTCTGCTCTCTTTTTCCAGTAGCTTTGTTCAAGTGTGACTCTTACATGATTTCTATCATCTACTCTTTCATGCTGTCAATTACTGATACCCCTTCATTAATTGAGGACACTAGAATATGATCCCATTTCTCTTTTTCTGTTCCTATATCTGTCATCCTTTGCTGATTTTGCTCTAGTTTCTGGTTTCTCCATCTATAATAAGGGATTGCAGATGATTTTTAGCTTTCAATTTATGTTGAAGATTGAGGCATTGCTGGGACCTTGTTGACTGGTGTGCTATGTGGTAGTCCGGTCAGAAATGATATTCCCATTTTTTATAAAGAGATATTAATATTCCATACCTTTTCTTTGGGGCCTTTCTGTTTTTAGGCTAACAATCCCTCATTTGTGTGGGCTTAATTTATTTGTCTGTCAATATATTAGCAATCAAGTAGAGAAAATAAATCGGAAGTCCCAGCTTCCAACATGCAATTTTTATTTCATCTTATGAGTTTCACATCTGACCTGGGTTCCCTGAGCTTTCTTATTCAATAAATTATCTGGATTTATCTTTCATGAAACTGCTCCAAGTTTTCTTTCAGAGGATGGGGAGCTTTAATTATGTGTTTTCACAGGTTGCAAGACAGAAATCATCATTATAATTATTTCACATTTAGATTTTTATTAAAATCTCTATTTCAGCCTTATGGGTCATCCCCATTTTCTATGATAATTGGTGACTTCAGCCTTTTCTGGGAACTATGGGGTGAATTCACACACTTCTTACATCAGTACAGACCTGATGTTTTACTTCTTCTGCTCTTCCAGTTGGTGACTACTTCTTGGCTTTCCTTCTTTGAAATATTTTCTGTTGCCATTAACCAAGCCCCTTTTTGTTCATTAATGAATAAATAAATAAATTTTATTTATTCATTATTTATTTAGTGCATACTGGGAAATGAGAATGATATTTGTGAGCAGTCTGACATATTTGAGAATCTACTATGGTTGGTTTGCCAATGATTCAGTAAATATTTTATTTAAGAAAATATAATAGCTTTATACTTTCCAGCATATTATATATACCACTTGAAAAGTCCAATTATCAGGAACAATTTATGAAAATATTGATGTATTTATAATGCCATTATTAATGGAAATTTTACCATATTAGTAATTCTTGGAATATTTAATATACAATTTAATTACATGTAAATTTTTAGAGTCTTTCTGCTATTGGTTGATAATTTTTCTAAAAATCAAGATGCATTTATTTTAATATCATTTTTCTGCTTCAAAAAGAAAATGTTTTCTATGAAATTAGAGGTATTTTATTTCTGTAAAATGTAATAAAGTTTATTTCTTCACCATTTATTTTATATTCACACCATTGTTGACAGTAGAAACAGCAGTTTCCAATTATTTTAAAGCACATTACAAATAAAAAGTGACATTTTTAACCCCATGAGGAGAGAAAAAGCACTTTTACTTTGGATTATATTAATGAATAAATATTATTCGGTTTATCACTGACATAATGTAACTGGTAACTTAAATATCACTAATTAAGGATTAATTTGTTACTATAAAGCGTGACTCAGCTCTTATCCTTTAAAATATCCTCTATCAAATGAAGCATAAAGTCACATACTTGTCAATTCCAGATGATAAAGATGCCACTTGTACTGAAAAAAAACAAAAACTTTATTATCCTGATCATCATTGTGCCATTGAATAAAATAAGCACCATCTGAAACCTAAGGCTACTTGCATATTTTACAAAGGATCATATAAAGTACATTTTATTTATTCAAACAATCTCTAGGTTATTTTCTCATCACACACTTCTCATTAAAATAATTTAAATGTAAAGTGTACTACATAAAATATATAAAATATATTAGGATTATTTATTGCATGTTAAATATTTATAAAACAAGAAAGTAAAATTCTCTAAATATATGTTCTTAAGGATTATACTTCTGTGTTTTTGTTCTCAGGTCCCCTTGACATTTAGCTCTAGGATCTATAATTTTATAGCCAAAAGCCAACCTTGGCAATGAATCAGGTTTAAAATCCAGCAATCTTGAAAACAATTCCAAATGACAGCTTCATCAGAAAGAAAAGATCGAGATATGGTTTTGCTACAGCCATTGGGAACAAGAGACATGCAAGTTCTTTAGCCCAGAAGAGAGATAAAGCAACATATTTGCCATGGACTCTTTTAGTTTCCCTTAAGAAAGAATAACTACTCTAAGCTACCCCTTTCTGGTAAGTTTTTATGGGTAGAAGTACAAATAGACTATGTCCAAGAAAGGCCTGTGTAAAGTGACAGAAATTGAACTTATGTTACACTTAGGGCACTCTCATTCCTCACTTAGGGCACTTCAGTGAAAAACTGACAGGTGAGAGCATGTCTTCGTTAGGATATAAAAATCCAATGTAATGACAAAAAAGAAACTCACAGTATTTTCCTTACTTCAAGGCAGAAATTTCTGAACGCGAAAGGACAAAATTTCTAGCTAAGACCTGGATTCGTAACTATTCTCAGAGACTCTAAAATGTGAGATAAATTTATTTTTTGCAGTGTCTAACGTAATGATTTACAGAGTTTCTAATAAAAGTTTAAGGAATGTAAACTATATAACCATAATTATTAATAATCTCCAAGATGTTCATATAGATAGTAATCTAATTTTTAATAACATCAGGAAATTTAACAAAAGAATTGATATTCACTGAAAAAATTAACTAGGCTAACTGTCCTCTTAGGTTATAGTTACAAAAGACAACCAGAGAGCATATATCTTCTAGGGAATTTATCCCATAGGTTTCATGGGCAGTGTGTGTGAGCAGGCAAGACAAATACTTAGTTGTGGATACAGGTAAGGAGGAGAGGCCAGAGAGGACAGAGTTAGATACAGATATAGTTATATAGATATACATAGATCGATATATTTTAGTCAAAATCTTGTGCCTTAGTTGAAAAGTATCCCAGGCCAATATAGTTAATCCATTGAAGAAATTGATTTTCTGTCTAGTAGGAATTCATATAGTAGAAAACAGGACATTACTGTTCACATTTATATGAACCCAAACTGTTGATTCTCCCCAGGTGGTTTAAAAAAAGGTCAAATTTTTACCATAAATGATATTCATAACATTTTTATTTCTACGGCAAAACAGCTCCCTTAATTGGGAATGATTTTGTAAGTAAAGGGATTTCTTACTTGAGCATGTTAGCAAAGGTATCCTAAGAATTTATTATTTTTTATAAAATTTAAAAAAATACAGGATAGAGATATTCATAATTTGCCTTAACAATAAATTGATGATAAAGACAATGCTATTATGATTAAATTCAATGAATATTTACCCATTTGCAATAAAAGCTAAAGTAAAACAAAGCCCTTAGAAGCATAATGACACATGTTTTCTGGAGATAATCAGGCATTATTTAAAGTCTAAATAATGAAATAGCAAAAGTAGAAATATTATTTAATTCTATAAATTTATGTTTTAAAAAATAAACTTAAATCTTTTTATGTCCTTCATCTTAAACAAATGTGGTATAACTACAGTTGCATGGTAATTTAAATTTTGGTCTACATGGTTTAAAGTGCAGCATGACCATAAAGAAAATTCCCACTAGCTGATGTGAAATTACCAAAATAACACTTCTTTCAAAATATATTTAGAATCATCACATGAAGCAGCCTTCATATGTTGAAAAAGTAAATTACTCTCCTGCATGTTATTTAGCCTACTGAAGTGCAGTATTCAATAATTATATAATAAAACTAACTCTGTGTATGTATACACATGTACTTTTCCCAATTTCACAGATTACATTTAAAGTTAGATAAACATATGAATGACACATTTTTCTAACTGATTTTCTGGTAATATACAGCTTTGTGAATCAAAAAGGTGACAGTTTTACACTCAGATAATTTGCATATGAATGCATTATCTTTATTCAATTCCTATTGGTTCTTGTACATTTTTCTCTACATCTTTCTATATATTTATTCAAGCCTCTGGGGACCCAGCTTGAGGCAAAAGGAAGCCAGGTTTTTCTATCCTTCATTAAGCTCCTTATTTCTCAGTATTATTTCCTAAATTTGGCTCAGTCTTGGTCAGGTCTCTTACACTTAGTGAGGAACTCTGTGCCTAATTTCTCCATCTCTGAGGGAAAGAGGCATTTCTACCATTGTTGGGGAAAACAATTCACAACACAGAAGGCAAAATCCCTGGGAAAAGGCCAAAGTGACTTTCAAAAGGCCAGCAGAAGTTTATTTTGCTCCTATTTCAAACTATAGGAAAATTGAGATGCAATTTGTATCGGAAAAATAAATTTAGGCCTTATGACAGCATTTAAAATATGACAGAATGATAAAACACTTTTGATGATCCCGGACATTTTAATGTCCAGCACTTAGAAGCAGTGAATACATTCTTTCTTTCTATTGTATTGGTTTACTCAATGATATGGAAAATAAAAGCGAAAAAAGGAAATAGCCTTATTTACTGCAGGGCAGCACTTTTGGTGCTCAGAACTGCCATCAGTGACACTAACTTTCCTAAACTAATACTTTTGTACACTAGTAATTTTTCTATACCAGTAATTAATATGTGTAGAGGAAACACACTATAGAATTGGCAGAAGGCTCTAATTCTACATTATAAAATGTTAACTAACTAAATTCTCCCATAGGTTTATCCCGATTATTCGTATTCTGAAAAAAATGTTTGGAGGTAATTGTAAGCATTTGGAGAGTGGCATGGATTTAACGGCCTGTGCGCCACATGGCTCTAGTTGCAGCCACGAGTTCACTGTGATTTCTATTCTGATCTGCGATCCCGTACATGCTATCTACAACCTAAGGAAAAGTGAATCCATTTCAGTTATTCCTAAAGCCCGAAATGTCAATGGGTGAAAAAAAATTCAAGTTTAAGTTAATATCAAGTGTTTTTCATTTTCTGAATGTTACAGTGCTCATCCAAGGCATGTGCTTCTAATATCCTTTTCAAATACAACATTTATACAAAAGTTATGTATATTATTGCTATAATATTTTATATTTGCATAGAATATATTGAAAGCAGCAATTATCACAAATATCTAAGACTAACTTTTTGTATTAAAATTAGTTTGAATTGTATTTATTATGATTTTAAGTAAAAAAAAATTGAGGAAGGGAAAATATTGTTGAATGTCTGATATGTGCCTGACACTTGACATACATGAGCTTATATAATCTTCACAACGGAATATTGAGTTGAGTATTATTATTTTTTATTTTGCATATCAAAAAATAGAGGTTCATAGATATTAAGCAATATATCCGCACAGAGATTACATGGGGATCTTGGAATTCACAGCAATACCACTGTGTTACAACCACCATGTTGAACTGAGCTAGTTACACCATTTTCCTTATACAATCACGTTATTAAACCTTTCTTCTCTCAAGTGGCTGGGAATATTCCTGCAGAAGCTGGGAAATATTTTTCTTGGTTGAAATTAAAAGTCAATTTATTGGTTGTGAATTACTATGTTGGTCTAGACATTGCCATATTGATACTAAGACAGAAACATGAAGGGATTTTATTCAAATGATTTAGGGTTTGTTGAGAGCAGCCTCTAAATCTCAATGCATTTTTACATGATTGCCAATCTGAGGACTGGTCATGAAAATATGCATTTTATATACTGCTACTGTCGCTTCCTCTTTTGCCATTCTCCTTGAATATGTGTTCTTGTGCCTTTGGGGTCTCCTCTCTATGTGTTTTTCTCATCTAACACACTTTAACTCAATGCCTGCACTAAAGATTTTTAAGCTTTTCATAGAGGGACTTCTCTGTCCTTCAATTGGGTTTACAGTGTTTTTATTTCACATCACAGATATAATACAATCTTTACATTGAACTATGTTAAGTCTTTTTAGAAAATTTCTCTATCTAGTAATAAACTCTAATTTCAACTTTACCATACCAGCCTTATATACGACATGCTCACCTAAGGACTATGTTCTTTCTTCCATTTAATTTGGCGAGTTAAATGATTTCAGTCAGTTATTTTCTTTTTCCTTTGTTTGGTGATATCTGTGCCACTGAGAGTATCAGCAGGGAAGATGGTAGACTCCATAGGATAGCAAGAGAAAGTTTAGCAAAAGAACTATTTATCAAGTGGTGAAGATAATTTATCAACTGATAAGGGAATGGGGAAGCAGGCAGGAACTAGCACCAGTGAGGTGGAGAGCTGTTGCTAACCCTAGGCTGAAGGGGGAATGGGAAGCAATGGTGTTATCAAATCCTTGGAAGAGTTTTAACTGTAACCGCCCAATGGGTTCTTGCCCACTGCTCAGATAGCACTAATTTATCAAGACAAGGGAATTGCAATAGAGAAAGAATTTAATACATGCAGAGCTGGCTAAATGGGAGATCAGAGTTTAATTTTTACTCAAATCTGCCTCGCTGAAAATTTGAAGACTAGGGCGTTTTGTTGTTGTTGTTGTTTTTTAACTTTTAAGTTCATGTGCAGGTTTGTTACACAAGAAGGGGTAACACTGACAGGGGTACATGTGCAGATTTGTTACATAGGTAAACTTGTGTCATGGGATTTCTTGTACAGATTATTTCATCATCCAGATATTACGCCTAGTACCCTTTCATTATTTTTCCTGATTCTCACACTCCTTCCACCCTCCACCCTCCAATAGGACCCAGTCTGGGTTATTCCCCTCTACATGTCCATGTGTTCTCATCATTTAGCTCCCACTTATAAATAAGAACACGTGGTATTTGTTTTTCTCTTCCTGCATTAGGTTGCTAAGGAAGATGGCCTCCAGCCCCATCCATGTCCCTGCAAAGGACATGATCTCATTCCTTTTTATGGCTGCATAGTATTCCATGGTATACATGTACCACATTTTCTTTATCCAGTCTATCACTGATAGACATTTAGGTTGATTCCATGTCTTTGCTACTGTGAAAAGTGCAGCAATGAACATACACATGCATATGTCTTTATAATAGAATGATTTATATTGCTTTGGGTATATACCCAGTAATGGGATTGCTGGGTCAAACGGTATTTCTGTCTTGAGGTCTTTGAGGAATTGCCACACTGTCTTCCAGAATGGTTGAACTAATTTAGGGTTTTGAAAATGTAATTTGGCAGGCAGGGGCTAGGAAATGGATAATGCTGATTTGTTGGGTTGGGGATGCATTTATTGGGAGTTGAAGCTGTTCTCTTGTGCTCAGTCAAATCCCGCATGGGGACAACAAGACCAGGTGAGCCAGTTTACTGGTCTGGGTGGTGCCATGTAGTTTTTTGCATGCAGGGTCTGAAAAAGACCTGAAACACCAATCTTATTTCTTACAATGGTAATGTTATTCATAGGAGCAAACAGTGAAGTTAGGAATCTTGTAGCCTCTGGTTGAATGACTGCTGAGCCATAATTTCTATTCTTATGGTTAATCTGTTAGTTTTAAAAAGGAGGGGGAGTTTTACAAATCCCAAGCAAGGAGGGGATTTACTTCTGGGAGGGGCACTTATGATCTTTGTTTTAAAGTTAAACTATAAACTAAATTCCTCCCAAAGTTAGTTCAGCCTATGCCTAGGAAGGCCCAAGGGAAGGTTGAAGATTAAAGGCAAGATGGAGGTTCTTAGGTTAAATCTCTCAGTATTATTATTTTCTCACTGTTATACTTTTTGCAAAGGTGGTTTCATAACTACAGAAGAGGAGAAACCCAAAAGGAGCATTGGCAATGAAGGCTTGGAAGTCAACTTGAGAGTCATGTTCAAGCTCTCTGACATTTGGAAAATTGTTACTTTCCATTGGTTGAAGAAAGCTTGGAATCAGAGGGTAAAGAAACCCAGAACATGTTTTCTATAAATGTTGTCTTCCGTGATATAGATTATGACAATAAAAATGAGAATGTATATGGGGGGAAGAGGACATAAATATCGAATAACCAACAAATGCTCAAATGTGAACCTCCAACACAGACCCTTCTCTAAATCCCAGGCTTCTGTATTTAACAGTTTACTTGATGTCTCCACTCAGATACAAAATAAGTGTGTTGTAAGAAATTCTAAGATGATCCCCAAGATTTCCAGTCCCCAGTGTATACACCATAAATAATTCTCTCCCTATGACTGTGTAGGTACCTGTGAGCATAATAGAATGACTTCTCTCTTGATTAGGTTATGTTATGTTATGTTATCAAGGTGCTAGGATAGTCACTTCATGATTATGTTACTTTATAGAAGATTCCTTGGTAGCTGACTAGGGGGAGTCTCCTGCTGGCCTTGAACAAAGAACTGTTATGTTATAGAGAGGAACACCTGCGTGGAACAACAGCATGTGGCCTACAGGAGCTGCGAACAATCTCTGATTAACAGCAAGCAAGAAAGCATGAACTCATTTCTCCAACTTCAAGGAACAGAATACTGCCAACAACCTGGGTAAACTTTTAAAAAGACACTGAGCTCCATATGAGACCTCAGTGTGGGTGACT
This sequence comes from Homo sapiens, assembly GCF_000001405.40. NCBI lineage: Eukaryota > Metazoa > Chordata > Mammalia > Primates > Hominidae > Homo > Homo sapiens. Next base: position 82,981,017 of record NC_000003.12, on the reverse strand, counting down.
CCTTGATTTCTGCCCTTTGAGACCCTGAGCAGAGATTCCTGCTAAGTCAAGCCCAGACTTCTGATTTACCCAAACTGTGAGGTAATGAATGGTTGGTGTTCTAAGTTGTCAGCAGTTTTTTACACAGCAATAAAAATGTAATAATATTTTACACATTGAAATTAAACTCCTGACCCTTCACCCCTCAATCTACTCTACCCCCAATTTTTCTAAGGAAATGGTAGCTACATATTTCAGCATACTCAGATTTCAAAACCTTTATTCATCTTTAATTTTACTCCATATTTTCTATCTTAAAAAACGGTCATCTGTAAATTCCGTTGACTTTATCTTCAATGTTTGTTCAGAATTTCAACATTTCTTACCTCTCTGACCACTACCTGAGTTAATGCTTCCATCATTTTTTCTTTGGATTATTTTGATAACTTCCTTGCTGGTTTGACTGCTTGCATATCTGCCCGCTGTGATTTATTCTCTACAAAGTAGAATATTACTCATAAAATGTAAACTTAAAAACATCACTGGAAGTCTTACAGTGGCTTCCAGTCTCATTCAGACAAAAAAAAAAAAAAAGAAAGAAAAAAAAGAAAAGTCCTTTAAATGGTCCATAGATATCAGAGCGATTCAGAATGGGATTCCTGGACCAAGGCTGGTCCAGAAACTGTTCTTTCCTGTCCATGCCATTTTCATAAACAAAATATGGTTGCTGTAGATATTTTCTTCTATCATATATTTGTTCTGTTTGTATTCATAAAAATTTAATTTTGTAATTGGACTCATATTTAAATGTTGTTTCCATTTTGTAAGTCTGTGTTTGTTTTAAATTTGTGTTTGTAGTAAGCCATTTTAATTGTATTTTACAAGTTTCTGCTTAAGACAAAATGTATAATAAAAACTTACCCTCTGTTTTACTACAGACAATGTGAGAACCTCTCAGATTTTCTTTCCTACCACGCTGTGTTTTGCTTACTCTGTTCCAGGCTCTCTTGCTTCTGGCTGTTTCTCCCTCATCTCAAATCCATCTGCCTGAAATGTCCTTGTCCCAGATCCACTCAAGCCTTACCCTTTACTTTCAGTCAAGATGATACTCAAATCTCACCTTGCCAAAGAACTTTTTAAAACCACCTTTCTTTTTATTGTTACTCTTTTAAAAAATAGCAATTCCTTCCCATTGGCAATCCCTATTTCCTTTATCTAACTATATATTTTCCAAGAGACAGTAAGGTATATTTATTGACATTATGTGTTTGAATGTGTGTGTATATATATAGATATTTATATATGGGAATATCCCCTTGATACTATGACCACAAACATAGTGACTTAAAATGATAGTAATTATAATGTGTTAATATGTTAGTATATTATATCAGTACTTTGGTTATGAATATTTTTGGTGGGCCTTTGCATTGTCTACTATAATATGTACATATAAATGAGATTATTATTGATTTTTCACCTAAAAGAGTATGAGTTTATTATAACTGGAAAATTGAATTATGAAGGTCTGTAGAATTTTCTGGCATGTTTTGTTAGTGTATAAAATTAGAGCAACCTGTATAAATGGTCAGAGATTTGATGAAACTTATTTTACCTAGTTAACTATATATGTCTATGTCTATCTATATGTATATATTCCAAATAAAATGAATTACAAAAGCTTAAATGCAAGTAAACTCAAACATGCACATTTCTCTTGATTTATCACTGTACATTGATTCTCAACATTTAATTTTGCATATATATTTCATAATAAATAAGAAATCAGCTAATAAGATAATTTAATATATTCTCAGATGTCTCATTATGTTGAGAGGATTAATTGGCTTCTAATTTTAAACCGATTATGTAGAAATATTCTTTATCTATGCTAACTAATCAATCTTAACTTTTATGATGATGTCAAAAATGAATAGCCACACAATAATTTCAAAGGCATGCTATAAGGTGTTGACATAGAGAGCTCACCTTCTTCTTTTGCACTGCTAGTAATTTACTCTAAAGAAGGATAAGTAACTATATCTTTACCAGATACGTTAGTAGGTTACACCAGTCAAGCCAATTAATAATGTCTTCTTTTCACATAGTTACCTAAGTTATCACTATTTAGTTAGGCAAAAAAGGGAGAATTTTACTTAGTACCAACATATTTGAAATGTATTTTTCTCTTTGTCTTGAAATCCCATCATTTAAGCGTCTTCGTTAAGTATTAAAACATTATTGTTATTGATAATTATTTGGAATTCTAATAAAATGTCCATGGTGCTGTGTAAGTAATCCCTGAAAAAATAATACCTCAGGCTTAATACAGGGAATCTTTAAGCATAGATTTCAGATATAGCCTCTGTACAGAGGAAAGGAGGAAGTTCATTCATTTGTTCAAAAAGGGCTGACACTGAGGAACAGCCATGAATCAAACAGACAAACACTTTGTTCTTATGAAGCGTATGCCTAACTGGGGGCATATACCATAAACAGGAAATAGGCCTTCTGCCAAGTGGGAGAGCTGCGCTGAAGAAAAGCAAATGAATGCAGAGGAGCAGAAAGTGATGATGACAGGAGAGTTTCCTATTCTGTAAAAGGGAAAGTGAGATGCAAGCAGAGGTCACAAAGAAGAGATTCATAGGTCTGCGCAAACAGCTTCTCAGGCAAAAGAAGATAAAAGGGTGGTGGAAGAGTAATAAAGATAATTTTCCACAATCATGTTTTGCTCCTTGGAGAAGTATTTCTGTTATAAATAAGGACAGGGAGCTTTGTGGAGATACATAATGAGAATGCTAGGATGAATTTTATGGAATATGTGCCCCATATCAAGTTGCAATGGGAACGACGATTTTGGGCAAAAATCAACCTCCACTGAGGAGCCGCTAAGACTAGCCTGAGGAAATTCAGAGAACTTGGGAACATTCTCAGAATGTTTTCCTAAGAGTACAGATGGGGGAACACAATAGCTGCATTAGTATAGGCCCAAACAGATCATAGGCCCCCTGTGGTAACCCTTGCCCTCTCTCTGAGGAATGCACCCCCAATTCTAGACAGGATTTTTGCTGACATACATTCCTTTAAAATGTTACTTAAAACAATTATTTTCTCCTTATGCCATGTCAGAAAGTCTAATTACTCATACCCAATCATTACCTTACTTAGCAAGCCAAGTTTGTTCAATCGGACTCATTCTCCTGAGATAGGTCATGCTACTTAGGACAAAGCTCTCTCAAATGTAATAAATATTTCACACTTAAGTCTTCTTAATTCTTCTAGATTTCCATTTGTCTTTTCTTTTTTCTGGAGAAAAAGTATAAAAATATCCAATAGAAAAATCCCCAGTTTGATGACTGACACATCTTTCATCCTGTCTCCCGCATTGCGTATAAAACTCTTAGAGTTATATTAACTGTAACAGAATTAATTTTATCTTCAGACTACATTTCAATGTGCTCAATAACTTGTCTGAGAACCAACAAATGTGTATTGACATGTCTTTAATGCATCATTCAATACACTTTGGTGGGTACATACTCTAAATCATGTATCATACAACAGTGCTTCTGAAGATTTTATTCTGCTTGACTCTGAACATTGAAAGTCAAACAAAATATTTTGCCTGCCTGCTTTTGGGGTTGAAAGAAAAATGCGTAGACATTTAACATCTAGTGTGACATGTGGTTTTCAGTGTTACAAGAATTTGGACTTGAAGGCACACTTGGGTGTTGGTCATAGGATTCTGGACTTTAAATAGTTCTGGTATTGTGGACATCAATATTATTATTGAATGACAACTCTGAGGGTACTTGAGAAACGGGTGAAGGTATTTTGTGTGTGGGAAAAAAGAGAGATGTGACTAAATGTGACAAATGGAGAAGGCACTGGAAAATAAAATTATTGACCCCAAGTCTTTGTCTCTCATTTATCTATATGCTCTTTGCCAGAGTTTATGATTTCTCTCATTAGAAGAGGGCACTTCCCTATCTTTGACTTTAGTGATAGTCATATAACTTTATTTGGCAGGTGTGTAATCGGTGGACTTTGACATAAATACAGACTTTGGAATAAGATGAACTCAAGAACATTCAAAACGAACTGTACTCAAGAAATTTTTCTTCTCACTCAGCCAACCATACAATGTTAATATTAAAATACGTATACAGGAGGGCAGATCACGAGGTCAGGAGATTGAGACCATCGTGGCTAAAACGGTGAAACCCTGTCTCTACTAAAAATACAAAAAATTAGCTGGGCGTGGTGGCGGGCGCCTGTAGTCCCAGCTACTCGGGAAGCTGAAGCAGGATAATGGCGCGAACGCAGGAGGCAGAGCTTGCAGTGAGCCGAGATGGCACCACTGCACTCCAGCCTGGGTGACAGAGCAAGACTCTGTCTCAAAAAAAAAAAAAAAAAAAAAATTTATATATATATATATATACACACACATATATACACACACACACACACACGTACATAACATATGTAATATATGTTTACGTAATATGCCAATATGTTCTTTAAGCGGTGACTTGATGTCTACATGCATGATTGGGCTTATCATCTTGAGCTTGTTTCATCACTTGGGAAGGACCGAGAGCTGCCCTTACCAGCCTGTTTGTCCAAGAAACATGACAGATATGTGGAGACCCGGACTCAAGCTGCAGGTTAGACTGACCTCAGACAAACCCAGCCAGAACGTGCCAACTGTACAGACTACACATGCATGAATGGGAGCAATCTATTCCTCTTTTTTTTTTTAACCCCTAGAGTTTTTAGATGATGAATTAATCCCTATTATTGGGATAATAAACTGATACAAACATACAGAAAGAATTTAAAACAGCAGAAATGCAGCAAATGCTTCTTTCTTTTTACTATACTAGATTATTTGCTTATGCAAAGTTATCTAATTACAACAATATGATGTAAATGGGAAAATGAAATATTCTCTGAGAATCATAACAATGAGTGAGACAAATTTGGATTCCTAGCTATTCTGTAAACTACATTTATCTTTCCCCTAAATATGTATCATATACATGTTATCTATAGATTATTTTATTCTTGAGTAACTGAGGTTTTAAAAAATATAAAGTGATTTTTATATAAATAATATTGCATGGTAGGGTAAGGAAAAAAATCTCTTGAGTGTACTTTTTTCCCATATGTCTTAGTCCAAAGGTCTTTTTTGTCATCAAAGTCTTCAGTGAGTAACATTTACCCTTTAAGACACCATAGATAATTTTAGAAACCTGCTCATTTATTTAACTCAATTAAATATTTATTGAAATCTTACTATGTCTAAAATATTATATAAGGTTTATATTTATATATGTATTTATTTATTATTTATATTATGTGTCATTCTGGTAAAGATTCTGAGGTATCTACCAGAGACACACCTACAGAAATATATTCAGAAAGTCAATGTGGGCCAGGCGCGGCAGCTCACGCCTGTAATCCCAGCACTTTGGGAGGCTGAGGCTGGCGAATCACCTGAGGTCAGGAGTTCCAGACCAGGCTGGCCAACATGCGAAACCCTGTCTATACTAAAAATACAAAAATTAGCTGGGCATGGTGGCCCGCGCCTGTAGTCCCCAGCTACTCAGTAGGCTGAGGCAGGAGAATTGCTTGAACCCGAACCCAGGAGGCAGAGGTTGCAGTGAGCCGAGGTTGCAGTGACCCGAGATTGCGCCACTACACTCCAGCCTGGGCAACAGAGCGAGACTGGCAAAAAAAAAAAAAAAAAAAAAAAAGTGTAAGCCATGTGATTAGTTTGTTAAACATGCATACCTTAAGTATTGTATCATTGAAATAATGCACACATTTGTCCTTGAGCTTCTTGCTGGCCAGAATGAAGATAACATTATGGAATGTTATATGGTTGACCATAAGATTCACAATATCTATCCATTTGATTGGAATAAACATGCCTTTTCTGGTATTAAAGAGTGATGAAGGTGTCTATTCCTGGTCCTTATAAATATTTCATCCTGCACCTACATGTAATTTTCTCCAAATTATTCTTACTACAAATGTAATGGTGATTTCTTATGCCTGAATGCTGTAATAACACTGAGTACAAATTCAAGGAATGATGCAAAAGTCATAGTTAATATATTTGATTTTGCAAAAACACATTTGACTTAAATATGAGAAATCTTCATTTCTGGATATATTAAATTATAAAATTCAGTAAAGATGGACTGTACAGATTTCAGACCATCATCCATGGATACCATTTTTCATGATTTTAATTTTATTGAATATTTACATGCAAAAATTTAATTGATGTTAATGCTTTGTGCAAATCTTAGTGAAGAAAATATGTATTGCTGATGTATTAATTAGGCGCATATTTATTGAATATTATATTAAAGCTTTTTGAAAACAAATACTTGTCTTTTAATGTGCTGCCGTTGTGGCACTAATGTGTGTATTTAGTTGCTTTTAGTCTGTTCTGGCTCATATAACAAGATACCATATACCGGACAGCTTTGAAACAACAGAAATTTATTTTTAACAGTTCTGGGGGCTGTGAAGTCCAGGATCAAGGTACAGACAGATTCAATGTCTGTTGAAAACCTCTTTCTTGGTTCATAGATGGTGTGTTCTCATTGCATCTATCACTTGGATGTTCAGATTTCAACATATGAAATTTTGGGGACAAACATTAAATCATAGCAGTTACTATAGTATTAAAGTACAAAATAATATTTTATGTTCAACCTAAGTACCCTGGCCACTTATCAGAAACATTCACATTTATAATGTATACATTTCATGTGATAATTACTTTTCTTCCACACATATGCACTCACAAAATGTGTTTTTTTAATCTTTCAGAAGTGTTTACTTTGTATATGTAACAAATATCAACAGCAAGAAAAATAATGACATCTTCCCATTTCTAGCATGTAGGCAAGTGTATGTGTTTAATTGTGTTTTTTAGCCCATCTACCAGAAACAGAGCCAGGCTGTTAGTCACGGAAGATTGCTTAATACCAGTTTTGTCCCCAACAGGGTTCTCAAAAGACTGTGTTGCCAGGAAACACAGAGCCAAGAGTACCATGACAAGCATGGAATGAGTATAGTTGTTTTCAGTGGAACTCTCCACATCCTTAATTGCTCCAAGAAGTCAGTGTTACATGTTTGTCTATTCCCATCTCTGCAGACTTTGCTTGTTTTCTCTTTATCTTCATAGCAACATGATGTATTTTACTGCTCTACTGGGTATTCTATAATCAATTCTATTATTCTTGTCTTATACTTTTAATTCACACATTGCAGTCAATTAATCTGCATCCTATTAATATCTCTTAAAATAAAACTTTCCCTCACGTTGAATTTTGTTGTCTTTAATATTTTATATAGAGTGATTGTATCCATTCTAAACTAATTTAAAGTTCTGAGTCTGAATAAACAGATCTCCCTTGACCAAAACTTATTTTCTGCGATCATTGAAATACTGTATAGTAGTGTCATCCACAGATTTATTTTGACAGTTAGAGTATATTTGCAGATGGTAGATTGTTGCCATTCCCTTTAAAATCTGGTTTTCTAATGATGATAATTAAGAATCGTTTTTCTAGCTTTAAATAGGGTGTATATAGTAACTTCAAGTTAGTCAAGAAGATGGATAGCAGAGAAAAGGTAAGAAGGACAAGCTGGTATCTATAAGACAGTGACAAAAAATATTACCCTGTAGCAATAATAATATCATGCTAACTGAGTTTTTTATTTAAAAAATTCTGATTTAGATGTATATTTGAGAATGAGAAAGTCTGTCTTTTTTTGTGTTCAAGTAAATAATTTATTAGACAGAATGCTAAACCTTCAAAACTACTATTTCAAGAACGTAAGCCACATTATATATTAGAATCTGTGCTATAAACGTAGAACACTTTCAAAACTTTTTGTAACCTGATGATTATTGTACTTAAGAAAATTGAAGTTATAATAAAAAGTGCCATAATTAAACTTCAAAATGTTCATTTATTTTTCTCTACCACTATAAATTTTATACTAATATAATTAGATATAATAATAAATCTAAAAAACTTTTAGTGTCACAAATTAAAATTCAAAGTTTATTAATGAATTATAGTTTTATAGCCTGAAGATTAAATTATCTGGCTACTACCGTTACATTTATCTGAATTAAGAACCGTATTATACAAAAATAAAAGATAACATCTATTTAGAAACGATTATTAAATATGACATGGCATTTATCTTACACAATCTGTTAGTTACTATAGAAAGATGCAGTAAAGAGGTCTCAGAAGTAAAATATTTATACTTTTGATTTACTTTGCAAGATAACGACCAGGAAGTTGTCCTTCTTTTAAGTAAAAGCCTTAAATTACTACATGCCTACATTTGTAATATATCTCTATCAATCAAATCATATGAACTTAAGAAATACTTATTTTATTGCATTATTTTTATAAAGTGAGCTAATTTGATTAATCTCCTGGGAAACTGTCATATACTGAGTTGATATGGAAACCATGGTAATTCTTGAAAAGATGTAATGGATTTTGAAAGACAATGGGATTATATCTTTTCTACCAAAGAGAAAATTTTTACATTTCCAGTAAATAAATGGATGTGTTACTAAGAAAATGCAAATATGCCTAATATATAATAGATTAGTATATGAAGCACAATAAATAAGCAGCTTTAGATGAGAAGTTCAAGTTATTTAGAAAAATAACATTACTTGTCTGCCATTAGAAAAAAAATAAATCTTGGATGACCAGAGCTGAATCTAAGTAAGCTTTTGCTGTTGTTGGTACACAAGCAGGCCTTCACAAGAACTGCACGGATAGTTAAATGATGCCCTTGCACATTAAAGAAATAAACACACATACACAAAGAACCAGACCATCTAAAAAAAATCTATCAAAAAGAGGCACAGAAAGTTGAACCGTGTGGCATGCCATCTGTTCTGCTGGAAGAGCCTCTTTCCATGAAAGCCAATGAATGATATACATCAATCTTTGCTCTGAGCCAAGTGTGTGTTACCTTGTTGGCCCAGGCCCAATAATAAGTCACATGGGCCTCAGAAACCAAAAGTGTCCTGAAAATATTCAACTATGTTTAAAACCTATTAAGTCTTAAGTTCTTACAACCTATTTTCCACATTAGCAAATGGATCTTTGCGGCTGGGAAATCTGGTAAAGATACCTAATACATGTGTCTTTTGGCTGCATAAATGTATTAGGTATCTTTACCAGATTTCCCAACCACAAAGATCCATTTGCTAATGTGGAAAATAGGTTGTAAGAATATAATACTTAATAGGTTTAAACACAGTTGAATATTTTGGCCACACGAAATGCAAATCAAAACCGCAATGAGATACCATCTCACACCAGTTAGAAAGGCGATCATTAAAAAGTCAGGAAACAACAGGAGCTGGAGAGGATGTGGAGAAATAGGAACACTTTTACACTGTTGGTGGGACTGTAAGCTAGTTCAACCATTGTGGAAGTCAGTGTGGCGATTCCTCAGGGATCTAGAACTAGAAATACCATTTGACCCAGCCATTCCATTACTGGGTATATACCCAAAGGATTATAAATCATGCTGCTATAAAGACATATGCACACGTATGTTTATTGCGGCACTATTCACAATAGCAAAGACTTGGAACCAAGGCAAATGTCCAACAATGATAGACTGGATTAAGAAAATGTGGCACATATACACCATGGAATACTATGCAGCCATAGAAAATGATGAGTTCATGTCATTTGTAGGGACATGGATGAAGCTGGAAACCATCATTCTCAGCAAACTATCGCAAGGACAAAAAACCAAACACCGCATGTTCTCACTCATAGGTGGGAATTGAACAATGAGAACACATGGACACAGGAAGGGGAACATCACACACTGGGGCCTGTTGTGGGGTTGGGGGAGCAGGGAGGGATAGCATTAGGAGATACACCTAATGTTAAATGACAAGTTAATGGGTGCAGCACACAAACATGGCACATGTATACATATGTAACTAACCTGCACATTGTGCACATGTACCCTAAAACTTAAAGTATAAAAAAAAAAAGATACCTAATACATTTCCAAAGTGTGGCTGGATAGTGTGCCTAGTTTATGTAGATTAGATTATTGACTGGGAAGACAAGGTTACACTTCACTGTAGAGAAAGCACCTCGCTGTCACTTTTATTGAACAACAAGGTTATTTATGCTTTAACAGCCTGATATGTACTTTGATTTTTAGTAATTTTATACAGATTTTCTTCTGATATTATGTCTCAAGCTTCTCCATGTTTTCTAGTTATTTTGTTATTTTCTTAGGCCACAAGTTCTTATGTGTGAAATACTCATACAATTCTGCAATTTCATGCGATGTGGGGGTTGTCATTCAGTAAGATAATCTTCTTTATCCTCTTGGCTTCTGCTAGAAAAACAGATGGGTTAGAATTAGAAGAAAATAAATAAAAGAGATGCAAAAGTAGACACAAATGTTAACTAGTTTTTGAAATTCTGACCTTTTAAGAAGGCCTGCTGTCAAGCTCTTGACTAGCTAAACCATGGTCTGTACGCTATTAGGGTAGAAATCCCAAATTTAAATGATTCTGGCTAAATGTACAGCTGCTCAGTTTAGGAAAGCAATCAAATAAAGTTCTGTACTTCTCTGTTGTACTCTTTTGTACTATTGTCTCATGCTGCAGTTCTCAAGCATTGTAAGTGTTAAATTAATTGAACACAGCAAAATTGGACTAATTGAACACAGCAAAATTGGACTAATTGAAACTCATGCTAATGAGTAAAATACAAAGGAGTTCTATAAAACCTTCAATTACTTTAGTTTCTAAGAGAGGCAAAGGGGGTGTTGATGAAAGAAGATTTAGAGAAATTTAGAATCATACATAGGTATTCCATAAGTGGTAAAATTGATATACATGACTCAATATGGTTAGGTTCTGTTAGGCCAAATCCCATGTTGAATTGTAATCATGGCTAGGCCATCATGGTTAGGCCAAATCCCATGTTGAATTGTAATCCCCAGTGCTGGGGGAGGGACCTAGTGGGAGGTGACTGGATCGTGGGGGTGGATTTCCCCCTTGCTGTTCTTGTGGTAGTGGGTGAGTTCTTATGAGACCTGATTTTTGAAATTTTATAGAACTTCCTCCTTTGCTCTCTCTCTCTCTCCTGTCACCATATGAAGATGGGCTTGCTTCGCCTTCACCTTCAGCTATGACTGTAAGTTTCCCGAGGCTTTCCCAGCCTTGCTTTCTGTACAGCCTGTGAAGCTGTTAGCTGATTTTTTTAAATAAATTACCCAGTGTCAGGTAGTTCTTTATACCAATGTAAAAACGGACTAGTATAGCCCTCAATCTAAAATGTTGAATACATAGCCATTAACTTTTTTTTTTATTATACTTTAAGTTCTACCATGCATGTGCACAACGTGCAGGTTAGTTACATATGTATACATGTGCCATGTTGGTGTGCTGCAACCATTAGCTCGTCATTTAACATTAGGTATATCTCCAAATGCTATCCCTCCCCGCTCCCCCCACCCCACAACAGGCCCCAGTGTGTGATGTTCCCCTTCCTGTGTCCAAGTGTTCTCATTGTTCAATTTCCACCTATGAGTGAGAGCATGCGGTGTTTGGTTTTTTGTCCTTGCGATAGTTTGCTGAGAATGATGGTTTCCAGCTTCATCCATGTCCCTACAAAGGACATGAACTCATCATTTTCTATGGCTGCATAGTATTCCATGGTGTATATGTGCCACATTTTCTTAATCCAGTCTATCATTGATGGACATTTGGGTTGGTTCCAAGTCTTTGCTAGTGTGAATAGTGATAGCCATTAATTTGACCTGGTGCATTTATGAAATGTTTCAATTGGAAGTAGAGTGAAACAGATTTGGATAAAATGTTATGATTTATTGTAATGCTACTAGAAAATACAGAAGCTTAGAGCACTCCAGTAAGATGAGGAAAAAGGTACCACATTATTTAAAGATGCCAAAATGCCAGAAAATCTTCAGACATAGTCTGCTGGGAATTAAGGCATAATGGCCTCTGGTGAAAAAAGAGGTAAGAGCAGAAGGAGATCAAGTTTTGAAAGAGCTGCAAAGCCAGGGAAAGTCATTGATCTTGATCCCATTGCAGCCAGCGGGAATTTCCAGATTTGCCATGTCAAATTTCAGGTTGATTAATTGGCTTTGCTTTTCAGATGTTGCGGTCTGCAGATGTATCAAATGGGTATCTTTTTCTACTTAAAATATTGCACCAAGAATTGTATACCTAGAAAGTTAACAATAAATCATCAAGGGTTTTCCCTTCCTTGCATAGTCTCTGACACATGAAACTTCAGTAAATCCAAATCTTGTGAATTAGTTCAACTTTCTTTTACTCTCTTCTGGATGAAATTTTAAAATATTCGTGGATAGTTACTCATGCTATCTATCTGTATGTTCTTTTAAACCCATGGCTTTCCTCTGAGCAGTAATATATAAGGCTATAATTCCCTCTAAAATAAGTTTTTCACTAAATCACAAAATTAATGCATTCTAGACTTTAAGATAAAACCCATAGCCTAAAAGTAAGACAAAGAGAGTTGAATAGAATATCTTATTAGGAAAAGCCAGTTCTCCCTCCTCCATTCCATTTTGCTTAAAACTCTTGTCTGCCTTTCCTTTCGAGACAGTGACCTACTGAACTGGAAGTAGATGTTAGAATGGGTTGTTAAAAAGTGTTTCTTACCTTACCCATACACCAAATATTACGTTAGATCCAAAGGTGTGAGAATATTAAACATTTGGACACAATTAGTAATTTGAGAGTAATACAATCTGTTATGAACTTCTCATCTGGTACTTTGAGCCGTGTTTTCTCCCTGAGTTTCCCACATCAGAGTGTCATAGAAACAATAGAATAGCCATAGGTGAGTAGTACTTTAGGGCACAGCAGTCATGCTTCTCATGGCCCTAGAATGGTTTTTCAAGATATGAGAGAGACAGGAAAGACAGAAGATTCGAGAATGATCTTACATTTGTGGTTAGGGTAAAATTCTGAATTGTCAGTTTAAATCTGAAATGACTAAGGAAACAAGAAATCAGGTAATAATGAAATCTTCTTCCAAAATACAGAAAACAGCTCAGAATAAATTCAAAACCCCAAATTAATTATAGAAAATAAATAAAATTAATTCACATCTGAATATATAATTTGAAATTTTATACAGTAATTTTATTCTATTGCATTTTGACGCAGGTGCTCATGTTAAATGACTCTTCTTCTACTCTGTATTTTATCTGTTGTTAATTGTTTATATTTCCACAGGGAATGTAAAGAAGCAGTATCAGAAATAGTTAAGACAATGTCACATCCTCAAACAAAGGAGACTGGAAATCTTTCTTTTCCCGTGTAAGTATGCATTTTAAAGGTTATCTTCTATCCAACTTTAGCTATATTATTTAATCAAAGCCTTCATTTTCAAGGAAACAATATTATACAAATTTTTAATATTCCTCTTCTATTAACTCTGGAGAACCAGAGGTCAAACTATTTTCTCAGGATAAAAGTAAAAGTGATCCTAGAGAGAGTTCAGGGAAATCAAAGGAAAAATGTAATTATGTTTATAAAATAGTTTATAGATTCTACAGAAAATAAGGTAAAATTTTTCTTCTATGTACATAATCATATTATATTACCCAATTTCCTCAAACTACAAATTAAATAAAATACATGTGTAAATTTATGAATAGAAGGTCCTCCAGTGTAAATTGAAAATAATAGAAAATATATTTTTGAATATCCCTTTAAGTATTTGAGTTATTTTAACTGTATGACAAATAGAACTTTTTTGAACTGTCTCCATAATAATTACAATCAAAATGCTTACTTTGCTTTCAAATACAATAAAAAGGAGAGACACATCAACTGATATTTCATTGACAGTTTTCAGACTTTTGTTGAGATTGAGAAAGTGATTACTTTGAGTTTAGAAATATGATATATTTTCTTAATTTACTATTCCTTTTTGATCCACAATGTTACCTTCTACATGAAGCAGCACAATATCAATATTGGCATGATACTAAAATTATAAATTATTAGAAAATATTAGATAGTATTAGCAGATAATGAAATAATTATCAGCCTTTGGGTATATATCTTCCCAATAACCTTGCAAAATGAATTCAAGGGTGAATTCAAGAATTTCATCTTCAAGTTCAATGCTACCTAAAGTTTTGTGTGGATTTTAGTAAGCCCATAATCCTTTATTGGAAGCCAATGTGCTAAGTTTTAGAAACAAAAAGATAAATAAAGTGAGAAAATGCCCCTTTCAAGTTCTTGAGGGCAGTGGCTTTATTTTTGTTGTTGTTGTTCTTCACTGTTACATCTCCTCTTCCTAACAAAGGACCTGGTACAGTTTAGATATTCAATAAAACATTTTTGAATTGAAACTAAGACTATTTAACAAATTATGGCTGTATATTTTTATTTAATATTTTGACAACTTGAAATCACTGACAGGTAATAGTAAAGACATACTCGTCATTGTGTATGCATTTGGAATGCAGATCAGTGGCTTGGAAGTTTACAGTGAAGACAATAGTTTGGGTTATCTTAAAAAATTGTTGTATCACCCATCACCTTGAAGGTACAGAGCACAACTTAAACTAACGATAAACAGTGACAACTCTGAGCAGATAAGTGATTTCAGAGACTAGGCTCTAATTTTTAAAAGCATGAGGTATGCTCAAACCTATTTATTTTGTTTAAATTATCATTCACACATATGCATGTATATAATTTAAACATCTATAAAAATATGTCTAAAAGTTATTCTTCAATAACAATGAAACCAAAAGTTCAAAATGAAAAACAAGTTAAGACAGGCCTTTTACTCTCAAAAAAGTAGTCTCTTAAGTCTTTACTAAGGAATGATAAATAATTGTGCTACCTTGTAAAATATAACAAAGTATCCAAAAGAGATGACAGCTGCAGCAGAATTAAAATAAGAAAGAAAAGGTAAATGAACAACACGACATTAAATTGAATATCTTTCCACCAACAGCATTAATATTGTGGATAAATTAAGAATTCCATACCTAAAACAGTGAGCAGGGCCTCAAAAAGGGAGTACTGAGACAGTGTTTCTGTGTCTAACTCTTGGAGAAAATATACCAGAGATCATCACTTGGCACTGAATGCTCCAGAGCCCATTCTCTTTTTTCTTCCTGTATGTACTTAGATATGAAGATTTTCATATTCTAAATGACAAGAAGATGTAGTTAGGGGGAAAGGAACTAATATTTTATAATGATTTAGAGGGGATAAATAAATGAATACTATTTTAAAATTCGTATAAAATGCATGAAATCGACTTTGATAAGTGAAAATGTATACTATCAAACAAAAGTAACCACTAAAGTAACAAAAAAAGTTCTGGAGCTAATAAATTCATAAGGGAGATAAAATTGAATAACAAACTGTAAATTAACCCAAAAAAGCCAGAAAACTAAGGAATAGGAACAAATGATGGGTGGAATTAATAGAAACTAAATAAAAATATTTAAGATTTAAACAGAACCATGTCATGTAGTACTTTAGGGCACAGAAGTCATGCTTCTCATGGCCCTAGAATAATTCTTAAAGATATGAGAGAGATAGGAAAGACAAACGATTCAAAAATAAAAGAAATGTAACTTGTGTTTAAAATCCTTCTCACGAAGAAAACTCCAGACTTGCATGGATTCACTATTTAATTCTACCAAATATTTAAGCAAGTAATAGTATCAATCTTACACAAACTCTTTTAGACAGGGAAAAGTCTCAGTCATTCCATGAGGCTGTTATGAACCACATATCTAAATTAGAAAAATACATGACAAGAGAATAAACTACAGAGCAATTTCACTTATGAACATAGATACAAAAATTTTTAACACAACTTACAAATACAATTTTCTAGAATTTAGAAAATATAACAGAACATAATGACAAAATAAGTTTTATTGCAGGAATGTAAGTTTGGCTTAAAGTAAAATAGTTAATGCAGTTAAGCATATGAGCCAATCAAAAAAAATCAAGTTATGGCAAGGATATAGTGGAACCGGAAGTTGCAGGAAAATAACCGTAAAGCCGTTTTGGAAAATAAATTTTGACAATTTCTAAGAAAAAAATGTACTTCTGGTATACACAACAGTGTGTTGAATCTCAAAAGAATTACACTGGGTGAAAGAAGCCAGACCAAAAACAAAAGTAAAATAATAAAAGATTACCTATTATATAATTTTATTTATATAACATTTTAGCTTATACAGTATGATATGTAGGAACAGAAAGTAAATTAATTGGTTGCCTGGAGATGAAGATACAGAGAGGGTTAGCTGAGAGGAAAGATATATATATATATGTGGATATATATATAACATTTTGTACATTAAATGTATAAAGTTTATTGTATGTTAATTAAATCTCAATAAAGCTATTAAAATATTATTTTAGTTATAAGAGAGTATTCACAGATATTAATCAATCTTATTACAATATTTCAGAGAATGATGGCAAATTTCTGGATCTGGCATTGGAAATGGGTGGATCACTTAGAGAAGCTTTGATATCAGGAGACTTTGAAGGAAATATTATAATTAGGCCATTGCTATGAGTACTAAAGTTATATAAAGTGATTGCGGAACTTTAGTAAAAAGGGGGAACATGTTGCCAAAATCTTTAATGAATATGCTGTTGAGAAATAAAGAGGGTACCATGCTATGGCTGCCACAAAAAGAGAAGAGAGTTGTTTAAAATTTCATGGAGTATAAGTAAAGAAAAACGGACATCAAATTGGACAAGCAATTATCCGGAAGTGGTAATAGGGAAAAAAGATATGAATAAAATGTTGTGGCATGTATGGGGTAGAGTAGAATGGGAAGCCCCTATTTCAGAGGATATCAAGTGAAGTAACAATTTTGTTAGAGATAAGGAAACAAAAAGTGCATTTTGAAGGTATTTGAGAATACAGAATTCCCTTATGTCTAGCCCCCTATCTAGTTATAACTGTGAGCAAGTTGTACTCCCACACCTGAGACTTGCAGGCTCACTAATAACTTCTAATTTAACAAGAAAGTCTTTCTTGTTGTTGTTGTGTCTTTCCCATTCTAAATCTGCTTTGATCCTGTTAAGACTGGTAGCCTTCCTAGCTTTCATTTGTTCTCTTTCTCAGTACAGCAAGCTTTCCCTGAAAAATGCCTATTTGGGCAAATCACCTAGACTTCTCTCTAATCTGTCCCATCCACCTGGATACAAGCAGAATATAAAAGAAGTCTGCTTTACCAGTTCAGACACTACCTGGGTGGCCCAGCTCTTCTGTCTTATTCTAGTTGATGTGGCTCAGTCAGTGTCCCCTAGAACTTTTGTGCCCCTGACCTTAAGGCTCTAGTGATCTCCATTAATTTTTTTCTAACATCCACTTCCTTTAAATGAGATCGTTAAGATAAAAAAATCCTGAAAATAGTTTTGAAGGTTTTGTTTTGTTTTCTATCCAATCTTCTTTCTTCGTTATTAGAGCAATGTAGACTCTTGAAGACTTAATTTATCCTGAAGGTCATTGAGGAAAAGGAAATAATAAATATTAAAAATAATATATAAGTTAGCAGAAGATATTTTAAAGCTTTAAATGAATGCCATTTTTTTAATGTGAGAAAAGTCAGTGTAATTTCCGTTGAACAAGAAAATGATAAAACCGACAGAGTTAAGAAATGTAGAAAGGCTTTTTTGTTTGGTTGTTGGTTTTTTAATATGCAGCAAAACCAAAATCAGGGAAAGAATAATTTGCAGCTCATTTGCACACAGTGAATTAGTGGTAAAGCAGACAACTGTGCATGGGTTTCTGATTCCTACTGTGTCTGTGAACAAGTTTACAAAATTCCTATTTCACAGCATGAGTAGAGTTGAGTATCAATGCACAAGTTTACCTAAGAGCAGAATGCTACTAATCCTATATTTCCTGTTTCTTAGACCTTCTCACACCGTTGATTTCAAGCCTATAGTTAGGTTTAAAATGGCTTATATCTTCAGATAAATTCAGGGTAGTGTGAAGGCTTAGACCTCAAATCAGGATTAATGTCCTCAAAAGGAAGAATATTAAGGAGGTTTAGGGTCCAAGAATATGTTGAGAAAAAGTTAACTAAAATATATATGTCTCAGCTCATAGTCATCTTATTTCTGCTGTCTTGTTAAACATCATTTGTGTGGAGGTTGAGTGACATATGTTCTTTCATTTAATCTTCAATTATCTGGTGAAGTAATTTTTACACCCTCAATTTTAATAATTAGAAAACTGAGACTCAGCCTGAAGATTAAATTTCAGAGTTTCTAATGTGAATCACTATTATACCAGAGACTATATTCATCACATTACAACTGCTATACCTAACACACACCTTAAATAATAAAAGAAATATACCCATTTATTGATATTCATCCATTTAGTTATGGTATAATTTATCACCTTAGTTATGTTAAGATGGTCTTTAAGCAAATTCTAATTACCTTAGAATTTGAGGAGGGGTCAAACTCTAAAGGGTCATTTAGAAAGATCTAGACGCTTATTTCAGCTCTGCAATTTTTTATATGTAACTATGATCAAGTTTCTTAACGTCTTAGAACCTCAGGTATGTGCCTGAAAAATAGAAATTAAAACAAGTAATGTTTAACACACGCACACACCAGGTTTTTAGAGGTAAATAATAATAATTAATTTCCTTTACTCAATCTTTCATTATCTCTAATGTGTCAATGCCTGTATCTTTGTAGACACTGATAAATATTGTTAATCATAATTCTAGTAATAATTTTACAATCCTGATCCAGGTACTAAATTAAAGCATTGTAATATAATAAGAAGAATCTCCTTTCCAGTTGGCTGTTCTCTCAGGGAGTAAAGACCTGTCTACAAAATTAGCGAGGCTGACAATTTCTCTTTTCTTTGAACTCAATTAATACAGTCTTGTTCCAACCTACTTTAAAAGATAAAAAGTCTCCCAAATATTTCTCTTCCATTACTCCTCAAGCCACAAAGACAATTCATACTAAATTAGATTCTTTCATTTCATGGTAAGAATAAGTCAGCTTATTTGCTCATTTCAGTTTTATAGCTACAGCCTCAATAGCTTTGATCTCTTGAAATATACAAAATCCAATACACACTTCCTTTCCCCTTGATCGTCATATCCTGTGGCATCATAGACACAAAGACATGTTGAAACTTCTACTTGATGGCCAGAATTCTTGGAAATGAATTTGTCTAATATGTTAATGCCCTTCCTGTTAACAAAGGTCATTTCTTCCGCATGATTGTTCAGCGAATGTAAACCAAAGGTCCCATAGTAGTAGCACGTATTACATAAACATGTTTTCATAATTTTACAGTAAATATTTTAGTGGATAATTAGTATTTTCTCTGTAAAAGTTAAATTTTTGAAATACAGAAAAAATACAATAATTAATAAGCCAAATAGATGTTTGGACATCATTTAGAATTGTTAGCTTGTCTACTACTTACTCTATACATATGTAATAAAATATTCACTTAAATTTAAAGTGTGTTTTGTCACTCATCCTAGATCCATTACCAAATCCATCTACAAATCTCAGGCAACTGAGATCGTACTTATTTTACACATACACATATTTTAATTAAGTGCTTTAAAAATTTACACAAATAGTATGGTTTTATGCATGATTCAGAAACTGCCTTTTAGTAGGCTTTGTACTATTAAGATGTTTTTATGTTCATCAAGATGGATGGATGGACAGATAGATAGATAGATAGATAGGTAGATGGATAGATTTAAGCTATATCTTTTATCACTGATGTGGTATAGTGTTATAGGAATACATTTAAATGTAAAACAAATAGAAAAATAGCATTTCTGTTATCCATTCACTGAGAGATGGATGTCATGTTTAATATAGTTTTTTAAACGACTAATACAAATTCTCTCTATAAATTCTTAGACCTCCTCAGTCATTTGACAAGTCTTTGTTGCACATCCATTTTGTGTTAGGTACCAGCTAAGTAATGGGGCACAAAGATGAAAAACAAACAAACGTGTGGTTTCTGCCCTGATGGAGTTGACAAACCAATGTGACAGCCAGACATCGATCATATAATCTCAAAGACTTTTGTTTAATTTTTAACTTTGTATAGTATGTATTTTTTGGCTAAGCAAGTACTATAAAGATCAGTTGCAAATATTTGAGTCCTCTCATGTACTTTAATATGGATTTTTTGAAAATATTTATAAATATATTATTCAGAAAAAATTCTAGATGTAAAAATTTTATTAGATTTTGTTTTGAGGCAAGAGAAAGGCATTTTATCTTCTGGTAAAATTCCATTGCATCTTATATGCAATGAATAACAGTGGTGATGCAATTAATGATGAAAGCAACAACAAAAAGCAATGACCCATAATCTGCCTTTTAAAACCACTCTGTTGAGATATGACTAACATACAAAAAGCTTCACATATTTAATGTACACAATTTGGTGCACTTGGAGATAAATGTGAAATGAGGAAACCAAGAACTGTACCATAAACATATCCATCACCTCCAAAAGTTTCCTCCTGCTCTCTTATATTTATTATTGTTATTTTTGTGATAAAAACTCTTAGCATAAGATCTACTCTTGTAGCAAATTTTAAAGTATACAATACAGTATCATTAACTATAGTCACTATGCTATACCGTAGAGCTCTAGAACTTACTCATCTTACATAACTGAAACTTTGTACTCTTCAACTAATCTCTCCCTGGTACCCACCACACCCCATCTCCCCTGCCCCATAGGCCCTGGCAACCACCTTTCCACTGTCAGCTTCCAGGAGCTTGACTTTCTTAGATTCCTCCAGTAAATGATATTCTTTACTATTTTTCCTTAGCGTATGGCTTATATTTCTTAGAATACTGTTCTCCAGGTTTGCCCATGTTGTCACAAATGGCAGATTTTTCTTTCTTTTTCAAGTCTTAAATAATATTCTGTTACATGTATACATCACGAATTATTTATTCATTCATTTGTTGATGGACATGTAGATTGTTTCCAGGTCTTGATCCCATACTCCGTAAATATGCTCCAATTCAGCAAGAATCAAGTTGGGAAGAGTATTTGGCTGTCTTTTGGATTTATTATTTTGAGATTCATTTATTCTTCTCAAATAACATAATAATCCCATGAAAAACTTCAGGTTTGATATATGTGGAAAGATTAGTGCATTGCCTGTTAGGTGGACATTCAGTAGGTTCCCGATATCAATGCAGTTATCAGTATTTCCTCCTGCATGTCAGCTGTATTTGATTTGCATACCTGAATTACTAATATTTGTATGTGACCAGTATTTCAAAATGGTTGAGAATAAAAGTACCTTATACTCTAAAAATGTAATTGTAGATATGTGAAATAATCATTCCTTATTTTGATAACAATTTATATAAAAATCTTCTTTACAATTGATGATACTTACCAAAAAGTAAAGTTGCAATGGGAATGCTGTGGTATTCTCGAATCTTATGCTATATTTCTCCTTGTGGTTATGAAGGAAGATATTTCCCAGCATCACTTGCACTAAGGTTGAGGTTATACTGCAGGGTTCTGGCACTAAGATTGGAGAAAGTTACATGTCACTCTCAGGCTTCCCCACGAAAACCATATACAAAATTGCCCATAGCATGCTGTTTACAAGGTAAGTGTCACAATATAAAACCCAATACTTAGAGAGTCAATACTTAGAAAGCATCTTGACCCACATCTGATTTTGATATGCTAGAAAAATAAATTTTACATGAACAAAATGAAATATTACCACAATAATAGTGTCCTAGTTCATTGTGACTAATCAAAATTTGAAGCTTATTAGCCTTTATTGCTATTGTTAATTATCTAGATAAAGATTCATTTTATTGTGTGATCGAGGGGTAAAAAGCTTTCTCAGCTACAAGTATCAGATGCTAATTTTTAGCAATGTTTAACAAGCTTGGCCTAAGAATTTTTATTTGAACATAACATCAACATTTATTATTTGTAGCAAAATATGTTTTTAATACATTTAGAGTTGAAGGAATTAAATCTCAAACATTTCTTATAAAATAAACAAATATATTTGTAAATATGAGAAATTGTATTTTTATTTATCTTTATAATGAACAGGATAACTCTTTATTGAAAGTAGAAACTATATCATAATGCAATGGCTACTAGTCTCGGGTCCGGAATGAGACATACTGGGTTTCTTTCTCTGTTCAGTAACTTACAAAATGCATAATTTTTGGAAAGTTACTTGAAATCTACAAGGCTCAGTTAATCTTTGTGATTATTTCAATAGTTTTATCTACCCCATTATAACTTTGTCTTTGTTAGAACAGAAATAAGGTATAGTTTTGCTCACTGTTTTAGTGCTACCATAAATACAGGGTCTGGACCATAAGAAGCACACTTTATATTCTTCAAATACTCCATAGGGCTTTGTGAAATTGAAGAATGAAATATCTTTAACAGTGTTTCTGGTATATAATATTAAATTAAAAACACATGGTATGTAAGTAAACTACAGATAAGTTACAACCCTGGTTAAATAAATACTGCAAGTGGAGAATCACACATATATACTTGCTGATATATGTGGCTACTGCTCTTCAAAATCCAAATCACTTGCATGAGTGCCTGTTCTGTGACAGCCCAACTTGAATTTATAGGAGTTTCTTGAGATTTTCCATTTCTGAGATACTATAGTCTGAACAAATTGTCATTAATATGCCATATGCAGTTAATCCAGTGCCATAAATATGTCCATCATTAATATTAAACTGACAGAGGTCATTTACCTATCAATTTTTAGCTTAGAGGAGTATACACTATCAAGGTGTAAAAAGTCTAAAGATAGAACATGAGTATTTTTGTCCAGATTTGTTAGTGATCTTACGTCTTACAACACTTTATCTCTCTGTGCTATGCTTTTGATAAAGAAAAATGCTGCCAGTAAAGAGCTGAGAGTAGTTATGAATGGATTTCTCACATCCAGTTGACCTCTTTTATTTGTGCTTGGCACAGAATTTTCTATGAAAGTTACAGCTGTGCTGCATCTGATCGCCAAGTAGAATTGGCCTACGATACCCTAATCACGCTGATCCTGCCTCCCAGTACTGCTTCCCATATGATGTTAGCGCAAATATGTTGAAAAATGTGCACTCTCTTCCGTAAACTTCATTGTTTTACTCTGTTTTGTAGTTTTCTTGAGCATTTGAGCAAACAGTCTTTTTCATTTTGTCAAGTAATACTAACACAGAAAGTTCTCAATGCCAGCCATCTTTAAATATAAATAATAAAAAACCTGCATTTATCATAAAGTAAGTAGAATTATTTTAATTAATTGATATAAAAAGGGCAAGACATATCTTCTTCCCTAATAAATAAAACAATACTTAAAGTAATATATAATAGAATTAATTTGTAATTTGTTAGTTTTCTTCCCCACACAGCTGAAGAAGAGGTACAGCAATAATTAAGGAGGAATGTAAGAATTAAAAGAAATTTAATAAGAAATAAATGTAATCAACTTTAACCAACTTTAAACTTTACTCTCAAGCTTGGTGGAACCTGTTCCCTTCAGTGTTCAACTTGACACAGGCACTATATACTAAAGATAAGGAAGGAGTTTCACTACCCATTTATCATTTTTACAGTCCAATATTTCTGTCGAGTGCCTAACTTCCATAGTGAGAGGCACTGCAGAGAAACATAGATCAGTGCCACAAACAGGAATATGACCCAAGAAGACCAGCCAGATTAGCTCTGGTTTGCTGTTTTGTTTTGTTTTTATAATTTTTACCTGACTAAAGCAATACTTTTTTCTACAAAATATTATTTC
The DNA here is from genome assembly GCF_000001405.40 of Homo sapiens. Classification (NCBI taxonomy): domain Eukaryota; kingdom Metazoa; phylum Chordata; class Mammalia; order Primates; family Hominidae; genus Homo; species Homo sapiens. The sequence goes on along the minus strand of NC_000003.12, from coordinate 82,957,107 downwards.
TTTAATTTATTTTTATTGAATAAGATTTGCTTATTACAAGATGTAATTCATGGATTTTGTGCATGATGAAAATCGAATCTATGAAATACAAATAAAAAGAACCAAAATTTGACAAGTAACACATTAAGTTTATATTTTTGTCATTGTTGCTTATCACAACAAAGAAACCACAAAAAGAATTACCAATTATGGACCTGCTAAAAATGTCCAGTAGGAAAGATGCCTATCGAGCTTGAAAATCATTCCTTCTGCATATAGCACAAAAGGAAAAGAAAAAAAATACCAGGTTAACAAAATGAAATATAGAAATAAACTGGTAGTAGAGTTAATGATAAAATAGTTACTGATATATTATGTGAGGCAAGAAATTAACAAATCTGACTCCCTAATATTCTGTTTTTCCTCTCACTATCTGCTGAGGAAATAATCTTAATTTTGGAGGCCTGTTAGATTCGAAGTGGTGAGATGGTTATTTCTGAGTTCTCATCTATTTTGAAAAAATGTTGACACCGTTAATATTGCACTTTTATTTAAACTTTCTCAACACTTGATGCCCAGGGAAATATTTTATCAATAGCTTGAATTCTTAGAACACTTCTAAGTCTCCTTTACTTTTTATTCCACATCTCTCTGACCACTGAATTTTGGAGTTTATAAGGACTCTGTCCTGTGCATTTTCTCCACACACACTCATTGACATGATGGTCTTTATAAATTCCAGGGTCTAAATGTACTCAATAAAATAGTTTTTTTTTCCCAAAGTGCATTTCCCTTTGTGTTAGTGGATTACATAATTGGTTTTATAAATTAAGACAAACATATTTTATTAAAGTAACATAAATTACTAAAAAAAACACAAGAATAGTTTAATTGAATTATTGTACTTCATCAAATTTATTTTTTTCTTGCTTTGAAGTAAAAAGAAAACAGTTGACAACATAAAAGACAATGTTTGAAAATCATAAATCTGATAAAGGCTTAGTTTCCAAAATACATAAAACTTCTTTACATTACAACAAAAAACATCCAGTGACCTAATTAAAATGGGGAAAATATTTAAATGAACATTTTTCTTTGAAAAAAAAGATATATAAGTGGCCAATGAGCACATGAAAACTTGCTCAACATTATTAGTCATTAAAGTATGCAAATTAAAGTGACAACGAGATACCACTTTATTCCCACTAATAGGACTATAATTAAAAAGATGAAAAATAACAAGTATTGATAAGCATGTGGGAATTGGAACCTACATACATTGATGGTAGGAATGTAAAATGATGCCATTGTTGTGTACAATAGTTGCACAGTTCCTGAAAAGACAAACAGACGTACTATATGCCCCAGCAATTCTACTCCTAGGTATATGCCAAGGCAAATTAAAAAATAAATTCACGCAAAAACATGTACACAAATGTTTATAGCAGTTTTATTCATAATAGCCAAAAAGTTAAAATGATGTTCTTCGATTGATGATTGAATAAACAATGTGGTATATCCATATAATAGAATATTATTTAGACACAAAAGGAATAAATACCTGCTGTAAAATGGATACATCTGGAAAACAATATGTTAGCTGAAAGAAGCTGATAGAAGAGACATGTATGATCCCATTAATATGAAATGCTCAAAATAAGCAAATCCACAGAGATACATCATAGATTAATGGTACACAGAGGCTATGGAAAGAGTGGAATGGACAGTGATTACAAATATTTTCTGGGTCTGTCTATTAAGCTGATAAAAGTGTTCTAAGATTATATAGCGCTGGGGGTCAAACAATTTTTTGGATACAGGCACACCTTGTTTTATTGTACTTTGGAGATATTGCATTTTTTACAAATGGAAGGTTTTGGTAACCCTGCACTGAGCAAGTCTTTGGACCCTAACTGTTTTTTCAATAGCATGTACTCACTTCAGGTCTCTATGTGACATTTTGGTAATTCTCATCATATTTCAAACTTTGTCATTATTATGATATCTTTTATGGTGATACATGATCAGTGATTTCTGATGCTACTGTCATAGTTGCTTTGGGGTGCCACAAGTGTGCCCACATAAGACAGTGAACTTAATATGCAGCCATTCCTTGTCTCTCCCTTCTTTGGTTTCCCTACTCCCTAAGACACAACACTATAAAAATTATGCTGATTAATAGCTCCACAATGGATTCTAAGTGTTCAAGTAAAAGGAAGAATCACATATATCTCACTTTAAATCAAAAGCTAGAAATGATTAAGCTTAGTAAGTAGGGCATATTTAAAGTGGAGATAGAGCAAAAGCTAGGTTTCTTGTGCCAAACAGCAAGCCATTCTGTGTTTGCAAAGGAAAAGTTCTTGAAGGAAATTAAAAGGGCTACTCTAGTGAATACAGAAATGAAACAAAAGCAACACTTACTGCTGAGATGTAAAAGTTTCAGTGGTTTGTATACAAAATCAAATCAGATACAGCCTTACCTTAAGCCAAAGCTGAATCCAGAGCAAGGCTTTAACTCTCTTCAGTTCTATGAAGGCTCAGAGGGGTGAATAAACTGCAGAAGATTGGAAGTAGCAGAGATTGCTTTGTGAAGTTTGAAAAGAAGCCCTTTTCGATCATTAAAAAGTCAGGAATCAACAGGTGCTGGAGAGGATGTGGAGAAATAGGAGTGCTTTTACACTGTTGGTGGGACTGTAAACTAGTTCAACCATTGTGGAAGTCAGTGTGGTGATTCCTCAGGGATCTAGAACTAGAAATACCATTTGACCCAGCCATCCCATTACTGGGTATATACCCAAACGATTATAAAACATGCATCTATAAAGACACATGCACATGTATGTTTATTGTGGCACTATTCACAATAGCAAAGACTTGGAACCAACCCAAATGTCCATCAATAATAGACTGGATTAAGAAAATGTGGCACATATACACCATGGAATACTATGCAGCCATAAAAAATGATGAGTTTATGTCCTTTGTGGGGACATGGATGAAGCTGGAAACCATCATTCTCAGCAAACTATCACAAGGACAAAAAACCAAACACCGCATATTCTCACTCATAGGTGGGCATTGAACAATGAGAACACATGGACACAGGAAGGGGAACATCACACACCGGGGTCTATTGTGAGGTGGGGGGAGGGGGGAGGGATAGCATTAGGAGATATACCTAATGTTAAATGACAAGTTAATGGGTGCAGCACACCAACATGGCACATGTATACATATGTAACAAACATGCACGTTGTGCATATGTACCCTAAAACTTAAAGTATAATAAAAAAATAAAAATAAATAAATAAATAATAAAAAGAAGCCATTTTTATAACATAAATGTGCAGGATGTAACAGCACATGCTGATATAGAAGTGGGTGCAAGTTATGTAGAAGATCTAGCTAAGGTAATTGATGAAGGTGGCTACAATAGATTTTCAATGTAAACAGAACAACTTTGTATTTGAAGAAGATGCCATCAAAAACTCTTATAGCTAGAGACAAAAAGTCAATTCCTGGCTTCAAAGCTTCAAATAACAGGCTGACCTTTCTTATTAGGGGCTAATGCAGCTGGTCACTGTAAGTGAAGCCAATGCTCTTTCACTATTTTGAAATTCCTAAGGATTTTAAAAATTATGCTAAATCTGCTTTGATTGTGCTCTATAAATGGAAGAAAAAGTCTGGATGAGAGCACATCTGCTTACAGCATGGTTTACTGAACATTTTAAACCTACTGTTGAGACCTACCATTCAGGAAAAAGATTCCTTTCAAAATATGACTGCTTATTGACAATGTACCATTTCATTCAAAAGTTCTAATGGATATTTATAAGGAAATTAATGTTGTTTTCATGCCTGCTAACACATTTCTTCTATAACCCAGGGAACAAGAAGTAATTTCAACTTTCAAGTATTATTGTTCAAGAAGTACATTTCATAAGGCCATCGCTGTCACAGAGGATAGTGATTCCTAGTATAGGTCTGAGCAAAGTAAATTGAAAACCTTCTGGAAAAGATGCGCCATTCTAGATGCCATTAAGAACATTTGCGGTTCATGGGAGGAGGTCAAAATATCAATATTAAGAGGAATTTGGAAGAAGTTGAATTCAATCATCATGGATGACTATGGAATTCAAGACTTTTAGTGGAAGGAATCAATGCAGATGTGATGGAAATAGCATAAGGACTGGATTTAGAAGTGGAGCCTGAAATCCTGCAATTTCATGAGAAAACTTTATGGAAAAGCAATTGTTTCTTATGGACGATCAAAGAAAGTGGCTTCTTGAAACGGAACTTATTCCTGGTAAATATGCTGTGAATATTGTGGAAATGACAACAAACATCCAGAAAATTACGTAAAGGTAGTTAAAGCAGTAGCAGGCTTTTAGATAATTGACTCCAGAAGTTCCACAATGAGTAAAACGTTATCCAATAACATCACAAGCTAAAGAAAAATCTTTCTTGAAAATAGTCAATCAATGCAGCAAACTTCATTGTTTTCTTAATTGAAAAAATTGCCATAGCTACCCCAATCTTCAGCAACCATTACCCTGATCAGTCAATAACCATCAACATCGAGACAACATCCTCCAGCAGCAAAATATTATGATGCACTAAATTGTGAGATGATTCTTAACATTTTTTAGCAATAAAGTTTTTCAATTAAGGTATGTATACTTTTTTTGACCTAATGCTATCGCACACTTAGTAGACCATCTTATAGTGCAAACACAACTTTTATATGTGTTAGGAAACCAAAACAATTATGTGACTTGCTTTACTGAGATACTCAGTTTGTTGTGATGATCTGGAATCAAACCAGCAATATCTTCAACGTATGCCTGTATACTAAAAACTACTGAATTGCACATTTAAAAAGATGATGTTGGTCATATTATATGAATTATATCTAAATTAAAAATTAATAGATGACAAAAATAAATTATCAGTCTTACCTACTTGTCAATCAACTTGATTTATAGACACTTCAAATTTACTTTCTGAATTCTACTTCATTCATTTCTGTACATAAGAAAGTCAACAACAACATAATACTCCTAACAGTCTTTCTGAACTTAGAAAATGACAACTCTATTTTACCAGTTGTTAGGACAAAATGGTGGAGTGATTTCTTGCTTCTGTCTCTATCACATCTTGTAGCAATTCTTAGAAATTAACTTTTAAATATACCAATTTTTACAATTGACATGTAATTCACATATTATAATAGATATCCTTTCAAAATATACAATTTAGTGATCTTTAGTATATTCACAAAGTTGGGCAATCATCACCACTATCTAATTGACGAACATTTTGATCTGAAAAACAATTTAGTGATTTTTAGTATATTCACAAAGTTGGGCAATCATCACCACTATCTAATTGACGAACATTTTGATCTGAAAAATCAGCAAAAACAAAAGCCAGTACTACAGAGGACATGCTTGCCTTGTTCCCTACCTGAAAGGCAAAGGTTTCAGTTTTGCACCATTAAATGTACGTTAGCTATGGGTTTTTCATAGATGCCCTTCACCAGGTTAAGAAAGTTTTCTTTTATTTCTAGTATGTTGGATTTTTTTTTTTTAAAAAAAAGAAAGTGTTGGCTTTTGTAAAATATTTTTTTCTGTTGAGATAGTCATGTGGTTTTTGTCCAATGTATCTGTATTCTAAGTATTTCTCATCAACTCCAAAATTTCTACCTTGTTCAAACTATTGTTATCTCTACATGGAATGTGATAATAGCCTTCTAAATAAACTTCTTTTATTATTTTGCCCCACTACAATGCATTCCTCAAATCATATCCAATATTCTTCTAAAACATAAATCACAGCCGGGCGCAGTGGCTCACGCCTGTAATCCCAGCACTTTGGGAGGCTGAGGCAGCCAGATCACGAGGTCGGGAAATCGAGACCATCCTGCCCAGCATAGTGAAACCCCGTCTCTACTAAAATAACAAAAAAAATTAGCCGGGCGTGGTGGCGGGCGCCTGTAGTCCCAGCTACTCAGGAGGCTGAGGCAGGAGAATGGCGTGAACCCTGGAGACGGAGCTTGCAGTGAGCCGAGATCGCGCCACTGCTCTCCAGCCTGGGCGACAGAGCGAGACTCCGTCTCAAAAAAAAAAAAAAAAAAAAATTCCATAAATCACATTGTGTGACTTTTTGGATACCATCTTCCAATGGCTTTCCAGGTCCCCTAGAGTAAAATCCAAAGCACTTATAATGACCAAAAACGCCTCACATAGCCTGCCTTTTTCATTCTGACATCTCATTTCCTCTAACTCTTCACCTATGAAACAGTGTTTTTCAAACATATTGATTGCTTTATTATTCAGGAATAATTTATTGAATAATTTAATTAGACATTAATGGATGCAGATGTCCGTGAAAACTATTATAAAAGATATAAAAGTTAAGAGGTTTCAGACTCTAAGATTAATGTGTTTAGCTTTTTAAAGAAAGATACTAGGGATACGAATAATTGTAATTCGAAGTAAAAATTAAAATGCTATAAACAAGGCAAAGATAAAATAATACAAAAGCTCCATATAGTGAGAGATTTTTCTAACAGGGAAAATCAAAGAAATATTGATGGATAAGAAAAAAATTGTAGTTGGCATTGAAGAATAAGTTGAATAAAGAAAAGAGGACATCCCAAATGAAGGGAAAAGGGAGAATTTTTTCTCAAATTATTTTTGTTCTTTAGAAATCCTTGGGCTACAAGAAATATTATATGCATAATTTTAATTAATTTTTCAACTATGAAGACATCTTATATGCTTTAAGAAAATCATCTAAATGAGTGAGATAAATTTGACAGAAATATAGAACATATAGTAATGCTCAGAATATGTGATTTGTTATTGTGATTGTCCCACATGGCCAGTACAGAAGCTATTTACAAATAAAATATGAAAAAAAACAACAACAAAACATACCTGCATATAATTATTTAATTATTATTTAAGAGACAATTCGAAGACATTGGTTATGTTATGCAAATGGCCACTCTATGTGTCATATGGGATAAGAAAAGAATTTTAATTCAATGATGAAATAAATGCAATGATGTATATTGTACTTTAGGAGCTGTATTTTACTATTTAGAAAATATTAATGTTTTGGTTTGGTAAAATATAATGGGCAGAGTTTTAGTGACAGCATAAATGAAAGAGCACATTCATCTGTTCATAGCAGCTACACTAATTTTGGCTAATTTGAATATTACTTAAGCTGAATTATAATGTGGAATGAGATTTATCATCTGATCTCGTTGAGAAAATGACTGTAATGAACCATTAGTAAGGAATTTTGAATAAGACAGTCAAAAGAAATTGGCCAAATAAAAGTTGTGAGGTTTACACAAAGTACCCATGGCCAACAAGAAGTATCATCCTCAAAATTATATATAGAGTTAGGGGAGGATTATCAGGATAATGGAAATGGATTTTGTGTGACTAAAGTTTGCTTATTTGCATATGCATTGGCTCTTTTCTGGACATGACTTGGCAAAACAAAATTGATTCCTACCAATAAATGAGGCTATGGGGCAAGTCCAGGTCATAGAGTTTATAGAATGCAGATGGGCATTGCCATGTTGATGAACAATGAAAGGTTGACTACATCAGTATCATTACAATGATCTCTTCTACAGCCATCTGGTGTCGTTTTTCAGGTTACCTCTGAGGACTCATCAGAGCCTCAAAGCAGTAACTCTCTTCTTACTATTCCAACTACTGTAACAGAATCTGCTGTTATTTCTACACTAACAGGTTTTAGAAAGTTTTATTTTAATAGTGAAAAAGCATATTATGTTTTCAGAGATTGATGTGGGTCACTTCAGCTATTTTACTTTTCCCCCTTAATTCTCACTGTAATATTTGTGGGATCATACTGATGAAACAGAAAGACTAGTGATTTTTAGTATAAAGAAGTTACCTAGTTAGGGTGTGAGAAAATGTACAAGTTTGTGTGCGTGTGTATGCATACCAATTTACAAGTATACACACATTATATATCACATTTGTAGAGCAGTAGAAATAATATTAGGGATTTTCTTTGTTAGAAGTAATTCAGTTGGTCCTTGAGGAGGAGAATATTCCGATTACTATCTTTACAACTCCATAAAATATTAGTAATGTTATATAATTTTCTAAAGAGCTGATTTTAAAAGCCACTGTCATTCAAATCAAATGAAGTTTAAAATAATAAAATAGAAGTACCCTCTATGAAAAGCAACATGATACTCTTGTAAGTCTGAAATTAAATTTTAATCATATATCTTAAAAAGCATATTTCAAAATGAGTTGGTAAGATTTTTAGGGAAAATTGCTTTTGAGATATTCAACAGTACTTTGAGAAATACTAAATTTACTAGCTGTCAAGGTATCAAAATGCAAAGAAATCAATATAATATTGCCTGGGTTTAGCCCTGAAGAGTCTGTGTCTTCTTGGCTATTACATGTGAGATTGACAACTCTTTCAATGAAAGATAATGATAAGAATAAGTTACTTAAACAACTATGGAGTTATCTAGTTTAAAATATCTTGCAGCAGAAAATACACTGTTAGGTTTTATATATAAATATAAACACAATGTATGCACATAAAGAATTAGAAGAAAACAACTCTGAAATGAAGACCATTGAAGCTGTTTGAAAAAAGCTTGGAAAGAAAATAGCTTAGACTTTTAGACTATATCAATATCATCTAGAATGAAAAGTATATTTAGTTTTCTGTTTAGTATTTGAAAGAGAAATAAAGATAAATAAAACAGAGAGGAAAGGGCAATCATTTTCTCATGAAAGAAGGGATATGAAGGGAGCTATTTTCAAAAGTGACCACAGCATCCAAACAGAAAAAATATATGTACAAGACAATTGCACTGAGGGTGAGAAAAGTTTTAATTAAAATTCCAAAGTAATATGTCATGATCAATTAATGATTGTGTCACAAATACATAATGATTGAATTCATAACTGAAAAATAGTTTCCTTCATTTAAGATTTTGGAATGCTTTAAAATTCCATTGAAATTATTTAGGAACATGGGCAAACCTAAAATAATGCATATCTTTTGCTTTGAAAAATAATACAAAATGCTATTTTGAAAGGAAGTATAAGCTTGAGCTCTAAGTTTAATTATAACAAATTGTTTTAATAAGGCACTATTTGGGTATAGTCTATGAACCCATCAGTAATGACTCTTGTCAGTTTCAAGTACAGTATATGCTACATAACAATGTTTAAGACAACGATGGACTGCATATACAATGGTGCTTCCATAAATGATAATAAAGCCGAAAAAACTCTATTGCCTCGTGACACGGTAGCCTTTGTAATGTTGAAGTGAAACACAATACTCACATTTTTGGGGCAATGCTGGTGTAAACAAACTTACTGTGCTTCCTGATGGATAAAAGTATAGCACATATAATTATATATAGTACATGATACTTGATAATCATGATAAGCTAACTTACTGACTTGTGTATTTTGTGTACTAAATTTTAAATCAAAATTTTAAAGTATACTCTACTTATATAAAAAAAATTAAGTCGGGGCAACACAGTGATACCCTTCTCTACCAAAATTAAAAAAAAATTAGCTGGGTGTCATGGCATGGGCCTGTAGTCTCAGCTACTCAGAATGCTTAAGTGGGAGGACGAGAAGGTTGAGGCTGAAGTGAACTGATCATGCCACTACTTTCTGACCTAGGCAACAGAGTGAGACACTGTCTAAAACAAACGAACAAACAAAAAACCCAACAAACCAACCAAACAAACAAAAAACTATAGAATAGCCTCAGGCAGGTGTTTCCAGAGATATTCCAGAGGAAGGCATTACTATATAGGAGATGGCAGCTCTGTGTGTGTTGACATATGACAACTATGTGTGTTCTTGTTCCTGAAGATCTCCCAGTGGTACAAAATGTAGAGGTGGAAGTCACTGATATTGACAATTCTGACACTTTGTAGGCCTAGGCTAATGTGTGTGTTTGCACCTTACTTTTTAAAAAAAATTTTACCAAGTAAAAAAAAAAAGTAAATAAAATATTTAAAAATGTAAAAAAGCTTATAGGATAAGGATATAAGGAAAGAAAATTTTTTTACAGCTCTACAATGTGTTTGTTTTAATAAGTGTTATAACAAAAGAGTGGCCTAAAATTTTTTTTTAAGTTTAAAAGTAAAAATGTTACTGTAGGCTAAGTGTAATTTACTATTCATGAAATAAAATAATACTTTAAAAATTTATTGTACTTTGTGAACAATGTTAGTAAAATGTACAATAGTGAATAGAAATATTTCAGGCCTTAATATTCACTCATCACTCACTAACTCACGCTCTCATTCAGAACAACTTTCAGCCCTGCAAGCTTTATTCATGGTAAGTTCCCTAGACAGGTGTATCTTTTTTTTAAGTCTCTGTACCATATTTTAACTGTACCGTTTCAATGATTAGATATGTCTAGATACACAAATGTCATTGTGTTACAATTGCCTACAGTATTTAGTACAGTAACATGCTGTACAGGTTTATAGCCTATGAGCAGGAGGCTATACCATGTAGCCTAGGTGTGTAGTAGGCTGTCCCATGTAGGTTTGTTTAACTACACTCTATGACAAATAACCACACAATGACAAAATTACCAAATGACACATTTGTCAGAATTTATTCCCACTGTTAAGCAATGCATGACTGTAGTTTACAGACTGTATGCCTGTCTTTCAATTCAAGTAACTGAAACAACACTCAATTTCCCAGGGAAGAGAATTGACAATGTAATAAAATGGGCAATAAAGTAATAAAAATATCATCCATACCTACATATACTTCCAACATATTAATACATAGATTTTCTTTTTCTCTGTGGGTTTGAGTCTTCTTTTCTTTTTTTTTTTTTTTTTGAGACTGAGTTTCACTCTTTTCACCCAGGCTGGAGTGCAATGGCACGATCTTGGTTCACTGCAACCTCCGCCTCCCTGGTTCAAGTGATTCTCCTGCCTCAGCCTCCTGAGTAGCTGGGATTACAGGTTTGCGCCACCACGCCCGGCTAATTTTTTTTTTTTTTTCAGTAGAGACAGGGTTTCATTTGGCCAGGCTAGTCTCAAACTTGTGACCTCAGGTGATCCGCCCATCTGAGCCTCCCAAAGTGCTGGGATTACAGGCGTGAGCTACTGTGCCCGGCCTTGAGTCTTCTTTTCATATATAACTAGATGTACAGAGAAGACAAAAAGACTAAAAGAAAGTTATGTGCAGGTTTATTTCCGGCTTTTTAAATTTAATAACACGTAAGGAGTAACTTGCCATGTCTCTAAATATATTATTCATTATTTAGTCTATTTCCATTTTTCCATGAATATTGAGAAATTACTTTTCTAAGATAAATTGAAATATGACATGTTTATATTTTATAAAATAAAATGATTTTGAACTAGAATTTGAAGAAAAGGAAAATGGATTACAAAAATAAGGGTACAAGAAAAAACTTTCACTTTGTAAAAAGAGAAGTGTTTTTATAAGAAAATGTCTCTACATTTTCTTATAATAGTTAATAGGGGATCCTCTGCTAAGGAATAATAGGAAAAATAATTAGTTCACATAGTAAGACAAAATTAGCAATGAAATCCAGAGTAAGTTACAGTATATTATACAGAAAACTGTCAGTAAATATATCTCTACATATTTATATAAACTAGGGTGCCCTAGCTATAAGAATAATTGATTAAAGTTGCTATGAGGGATGGTTCTGAATTCTAAAAGAGCAAGCAATAGCTTTCTAGGTTTCAGTTTTCTGGAGATGAAGATAAAATAATAGAATTTTGGCAATGTGTGTAAAAAGAGAATTTGTAGCTATGTAACCACAAATTCAGCATTAGACACCAAACCATGCCAGTAACAAAAATTTCAGGAATTAGCAATTTTGAGTGGTGGAAAAATGTACCTATATTCTCAATAACAATAAATACAAGAGTGATAATTGTCCCCCAGATATCTGTAATTGGACCTGAGTTACCATAAATTCAGCCTACTCTAGAAAGGAGACAAGAAAAGTCATAAACTTTATTATAACCCTGTGTGCAGAAACAAATAACAAATGAGAAGCCATCATGAACCTTATTAGAAAGCAGGTGGTATGGGGTTAAGACAAAAATGAAATACTTGAGCTTAAGCAGAACTGGGATATGATTCATTTTGAGCTGAAAAATTTAGAGAAATCTCATTAATACCTAGAAATGTGACATCTTAGAGTAAGAACCTCAAACAGTAAGGCATAATCTAACCTTAACTAACAAATTGAAAGAAGAAAAAGTCTTGGCAAGATCTTCATGGAAGATAAAGTTCAGAGTTTAAAATCCTGGTAGGTTAGAGTAGTTCATAAACGTCATGTTCATGTTACAGATCTAATCTACCTAAGCATATAACTAAGAGTTCTCAAGTCCAAGACATGTAGCCAGTGACTAAGTTTCCTATAGATTCAAACTCACAAACAAAAATACCTCACTCCTCAGGAGAAGATTATAGGACCCAGAGTCTCTATATCATTCATAATGTCCCATATGTAATACAAAAATTACTAGAAACAAAGACAAGGAAAAGAACAATGTGACCAGTGGTCAAGAGAAAAATCAGACGAAATAATCAGACCCTAAAATGTATACAAAATTAGATTAAGCAGCCAATAATTTTAATTATATTTTCTTAAATATCTAAAGAAATTAAATGATATAAGATCTTAGTGAGTAAATGGTTATGAGCTCTCAGTTGAGGGGAAAAAACAGAAAAATCCGTTTAGAACTGAAATGTAAAATAAAAGATATAGTCAATTCACTTCAGTAGCCTAACAGCAGATTAAAAATGGTAGAAGACAGACAGGTTCAGTGAACATGAAGACAGACCAGTAGAAACTACTCAAAATAAAAGAAAGAGAGCTAAAAGCATAAAAAAGGGAAAACAATGAGACTCATTGACCTGTAGGAACATATCCAACCCTGTGTTTACTTGGAGTCACAGAAGAGGAGAGATAAAATTGGGTAGAAAAATAAATTAGAAAAAATAATAGTCAAAATAACAATTAACTTTTCAAATTGTTGAAAATCATAACATTAAAGATATAGGCAGTTCAGTTAACACCAAAGGAATAAAATACCAAAGAAAACTATATCCAAAAACATTACAGCCAAACTGCTTATAAAACAAAGGAAAATAAAAAACCTTGAAAGAAGCAAGAGGAAAAAGAAATGTAACTTACAGGGAACAATGTTGCAAACTGCATTTGTCCTCATGAGATGCAATGGTGTCCAGGAAAAAAACTCATAATATATTTAAAGATTTAAATAAATAAAATCAACAGAGAGTATTATATTAGAAAAAAATACTCTTTAAAAGTTAGGGTAAAATAATGTCATTTTAAGATTAAACAAAAGCTGAATTAATCTATCACCACCTGAACTAAACTAGAAGCCATCCAACAACTTTGGAATATGTGTTCTTTTCAAGCACACGTGAAATCTTCACCAAAACAGACCATATCTGGGAACAGAGTAATGCATCACAACAAATTTTAAGACTGAAATTTTGCAGTATATGTTATCTGACCACATGCAATTCAATTAAATGTGTTCTAATTCAATTAGATATGAATTCAATTCAATCAATAACAATAAGTTATTTAGAGAAGCTCTCAAAATTTGGAAATTTTCTCTAAGTATACTTCTAAATAATGCAAGGTCAAGGAATAAATCACAGTAGACTAATGTAAATTGAATGGTATTTTGTATTACATATCAAAATTTGTGAGACAATTAAACCATGGAGGCCTAATTTATATCTTTAAATGCTCATATTGTAAACAATAGTTTGAAAACAAAAACCTCACTCCAAGTTCTGGCAATGTTGGTTTAAATTCTAGCAGTAATTTTCTCCCAACATAAATGCTAAAAAATAGAATGAGATATATGAAACTGTTATTTTTCCACGTTGGACAGCGGTAGTATGGGAATTCAGTCAATTAAATAAGGGATATCAGTAAGGTGAACCCTCAGATTGCTCCAGTGTTCCACCTTATGTCACTTTCCAGACTTAATCACAGGAGAGATGAACCCAAGAGGAGCAGAGTGGTCCTGCTTAGTTGATAACAAAGGGAACAGATTCTGTTGAGGCTTAGTTAGATGGGATTGGTGGAATGGAGTATTCAAAGAGAAAGAAATTATGCAGGAAAATAGCTCCACAAATAGAAATTAAGTGTCTTTTAGCTTTTACTAAATACTGACTTCATTTGGTTATCATTGAGCCTTTCCTGAATTTGAGCATGAGTGTAGAAAAACTCCACAAAGCTAGGCAATAATCCATCAGAAAGTTGTAAATTGAGCAATTTTCAGATCTTGTATGTTGCTATCAGACTTCAAGTTCTAACTAGTCAGAGTCAAGAGACCTCATGTTTAGTTTCAAAAATCACTCAACATACCAAGACACAGAAAAATCTTACTCAATGCCATTAAAAATATCCGTCATTAGGAACAAGCTAGAAATTATAGCAAAGATTAATTTAACTCACAAAGGCTCTTAAAATAGCTATTATTCATAGTTTAAGGCTTTAAAAGACAATCTAAGAGAAATGTGTAGAGAATTGGAAGATACACAAATAAACTTCTAGAGGTAAAAATGGAACATGTGCTATTTCACAAAAAGTAATTACATGGGCCTAACAGCAGATTAAACACTATACAAAATATGAATGAATCATACAAACTGAAGTCTTCCAAAAAAGAAAATGACTGATAAAAAAAAAAAAGCTGCAGTGGCCCTTGAAGAGTACATGCAATTTGATTGTCAGAAATGGGAAGTAAGAAATTATGTGAATCAACAATGGCCAACATTTTTTCTCAGTTTCATAGAAACTATGAACTCATAGATCCAGGAAGCTCAATGCAGCCCAAGTAGGAAGACCACAAGAAAAATGACATCAGGTAATATAATAATAAAGTGACTGGAGGACAGTGACTGACAGAAAAACAAATCTTGAAAACAGCAGAGTGAAGAGAGTGTACATAATATGAGAGAAACAAAAGACAAAAATAAGACCAGATTTCTCATTAGAAATAATGCAGCCCAGAAGATATCAAAAATTTTGAAAAACATCAATAAACACATATAAGTTACAAACATTGGGAAGTGAAACTTGGGGAAGATGAGGTGATAAAAGGAAGGTTAAATGCTCGTTTTTTTACTTTATAAAGAGAGGTAATACATTCATTCATTTGGAAGTTTAAAGTTTGAAGCTGCAATATAAAATACACTATGTGATGTTTGCATAATTACTTTTAAATATTAAATGGTTTTAATGATTATTTCAAAAATATTATTTACAGTTCTTCAAAGTAATTATAATTTTATTGATATTAATTAAAGTTAAATTGCATTTATTTTTATGTTACCTAGGATGTGTGCATGGGTGTCTGTGGACAGCATTCTTATCAAACTCTTCTCTCTGTTTACCCATCTGTCCATTCCTGTCTACCTCTATCTATCTACTCACAAATTTATTTATGTCTCTATTTTTCTACATTTTTTCATCAAGTCTTCCAGCTGCATATCCATTCAACTATAAAAAAGAGAAATATATGTATATATATATATATACACACACACACATATGCAGTGTTTTTTTGCTGATAAAATTCTTATGGCTGTTTGGTGATATTCTGGAGAATTTTTGTTTACATAATACTTTTTTACCTATGTCTTTATTGCTGTAACTTGAGTACATGCTAGTCTTATTAAAATTATAGTGTTAATAAAATTGTTACTTATTAAATCACAAAAATATTTATTTTCAAAACATAAGTTTTACTTTTATTGGTGCATTCCTCGCAGAGAAGGGTGACTTCCTGCTTAGTAAGTAAAACACAGTGTGTCAGTGCTCCTGTTATGCACATAGTAATTCCTTGCTAAATGGGAAATGTGTTTTTAGAAAATGTCACTCAGAGGAAAAATGCAGTAAGCAAACACAGTAAGAGGGTAGAAGAAATAGCTGCAATGAGATCCTGCTTCAGAATATTTTTGCAATCACTCTTTATATGCTTAGCATCCCATGCTGTTCAACAACTTGGCTTTAGAAAGTACTTTGTTTTTATCTGCTCTGGAACTACATACAAAGGCACTTATTCAGCTGCCTGAAATAAATTACTTTATATTCTGGGAAGCTTTAATTCTATATTAAAGCGAAAAAGTAGAAGACATGGCCCATGAATATGCCTTATGCTTAGTATTTATTGATATCTAAGCTGAATTTGGTGAGAAAAAAAAAGAAGAAAACTCTGAGGAATTAGTAAAATGTTTTAACAGTTCCCACCTTAGTAAAACGTGTAAAGTATGCTATTCACAAGAAACTAGCAGTGTGCTGCTGTTTCTCGTTATTATATTTTGACAAAGCAACTTTTAACTTATAAGAGGGTTGTATATACAAACATTTAGGCTAATAGCTCCATTTGGTTTCCTGAGATATTTCTAATACTGTAAATGGGGTGAAAGGTTATAGCATATGTCAAGGTCTTCAACATAATTTGCCAATGGCTGTAGGCTTTATGCAAGAAGTTTTGATGAAGACCCTATGAGGCAGGATTTTTTCGGGTGTCGCTTTGCCACCCGGAAATCTGTGGCTGACGGCAACTTCTACTTGAGTATTATTCACACCTGCTGGGCTCATTCCCCCCACTCAGCCTGGCAGGCTGTGTTTGGCTTGCACTACCAGCCCAGATCCCATGCCGGCCAAAGATGAGCCAGGCCCCAAGGAGCAAAGGGTGTGTGAGTGAGCGCGGGGTCACGCCATTGCACACGGCCAGGCATGTTGGATGCTGTGGTCGGGCAGGCAGCTCCAAACGCAGGCACAGTCGCTGGCTCCGTGCAAGGCTGCGGCTAGACCATGAGTACCACAAGCAGCTTCTGCTGAGGGCACCAGTGTCTGGATGAGGGGAACTCAGTGGCACCGGAAAGCTCGGAGATGTCAGAAACTGCAGAGTCCCAAAGAGGGTGTCACAGGCCTGTCTCTAGGAGCCCCTGAGTCTGGGCTCCCTGAAGGACTGCAGCTCTTCTCTCCTTCTGTCCCACAGCACAGTGAGCAAGGGGGCGGTTTTGGGGGGGTGGGGGGAGGTTGGTGCCAGCCTGTTTGTGTTACAGCTCTTTCAGCCCCACTGCCCACCTGGGCGGGCGGCTCCTGGGCTGGAACGCGGGGCCTCTGCTTCTGGTTGTGTGGGGTGGCTGCGCAGGCTGGCAGAGGGCTATAGTGTTGCAGCAGCTCTGGTTTGAGGAATCCTAATGTCTAGGCCACCAGAAGGGTCGCCACTCTTAACTCCCGCAAACTGGGAGCTTGTCACCACTCACAGCTCAAGTGAGCCAGCCAGGAAGGTGTTACAGCTCCTTTTGCTCCTGCCAGTCAGTGGGTCTCGAGCTCTTGTTTCACATCCAGAAAGAATGCGGTTAGCAGAAAACTGGAGGGTGAGCAAGGCAGAGCGGAGCTTTATTGAGTGACAGAACAGCTCTCAGGGGACCCAAAGTGGGTAGCTCCTTTCCACAGGCACTTCATCCCGAAAAGTGTCTGAGTCTGGCCTAGTCTGAAGTTGTTCTGTGCTCAGAGTGGATGAAGTGCATGCTGATTGATCCACGGGCAGCAATGGGCGGGACTGGAAAAAGCATCATTCAGTTAGCCAAAAGGCATCAATGAAATTCTCACTCCAGGTGGCAAATTCCACCCAGAGCTGGCAGCCGGGTCCCCAGGCTTCAGGCCATCCCTGGCTGAAGGTGGGGTTTCACCCGGGACCTCCCCTTCCCGCGAGGAACTTGTCTGTCTCCTGCCACCATCAACATACTTACTGTTCATGGAGCCCAGGCCTTCCCCTGAGGGCGCCTGCAGGCCAGGTCCGAGCCACCCTCAGCACCCCGAGACCAGGGTGGGGGGTTGGGGGGGCTGCGTGTCAGCACTGTCCCGAGTGTGCACACTTCCTGCTGGGTTGCAACAGTGCCCTGGCTTGGTGACAGCTTTGCTGCACAGCAGAGCGGGTGCCAGGAGCAGGGAGAGAGCCCAGGGAGCAGGAGCAGGCACTTCCAATACTGTAGGGACAGAGGGCTTCCCGGGCCCCTGAGAGCGCTGGGATGCCCAGGTCCCCGAGATGCGGCTGGGCAGCGGCAGCTGTGTCCAGGAGAGTGTCTCCACCACACCCACTCGGTAGGGCCTGGGGCTCCCACTGGGATCACCTGTTCTCATCCCTGGCTGGCTCCGCAGAATGCGCGGCACTGGCCACGCCTGCACCGCTGCAGTGCTGCAGCTGGCATCCTCACAGCAGCTACTCCAGAAGAACTGTCGCCACCAACACCTATATACTGTCTTTACAAAAGACTTTAGTTAAAAATTCTTACAGCGTTCTCCAGATGACTGGCATTGTGCTTATTTTCATCTAACTGCAGCAATTGTCAGCTCCGGACTAGTTATTTTCGGTGTGTGCTTTGCCTGGAATTGTTATTTGGGACAATGAGTTTATATTTTAAATTTATTTCTGCGGCAAAGACATGGTGGTAAAAATGCCTCATCTACCGTGCCAGGAAGAAAACGTACATAAAGCATCCTAAGCAGGTTACTAATGGAGACTAGAAAACATAACTAGATATTTCTTACCTCTGAGCGTGTTACTCATGATTAGTACCAATATCAAGTTTTGTTATTGTATAAATAAAATGAGCTTGCCATTAATTTTTTATTCAGATTTAAGAAGCACCATTTCAATGTAGTTTAATAAATGCAGGCATTGGAGTTGAACTAAATGACTTGGAATCTGACTCCACCTTTACATTCTTTTGTGGATTGAGGCTCCTAACTTCGCCTCTTTGTGATTCAGTTTCCTCATCTATAAAGTTGTGGTAAATTTTTAAAGTTTTGGGTATGTGATGCAGTAATCAAGGTATATTCATTCGTTTTAGACTTCCTATGTCTTTATATCTCTGTATTAAATAACTATTACTGACAGATTTTTACGGCACTTATGTTTACCAAAATTGCTATTCTATGCTAGAAATTACAATGCTAAACCAAGATTTCATTTCCTGTAATCAAATAAATGGTTATTATTTATAACCCAAGTCTAGTTTCTCTTTGATAATTCTATGGGAATATATAGAAATAAATTTATTTTATGATACATGACAGGCATGAAACAATGAAAAATATCTCTTTAGAGCTCACTGAAAATTATTTGAACTAGTAAAGATGACCTTACTATATTATTTTAATAGCTACTAGTATAACTCAGGTATCTTTGAATAATGATACTCTGAATTTAAATAGATGAAGGAAATAAAGAAATATTGTATTTTATTCATCAAAGCTTTTGTTTTTTCAACTTTTGAAGCTCTATAACTGTGTGGCTGCAATAATGTACAAACTTTGTTTTAATACGTGAATGTATCAGAAAGTCTAACAGTCTTCAATATGTTTGTGAACTCTCAATAAAAATGGTATTTAACACTTGAAAAATGTAATCATTTTTGAGAAATTTGAAGAAAATATTGAACATCTTCATGCTGATTTTATTGAAATTTATAGTAATTAATTACAATAAAAAATGTATTTATATGAACAACTCATAAAGCTTTACTAATTTAGTTTAATCAACGCTTTAGTTACCATCCCAAGATTCTTTGTTAAGTAGGATTATGAAAATACATTTTGTAAACATCTCATTTCCAAATAATTTAATCTCAACACACTGCCTCTGCAAAATGATTTTCAGTGCACTCTTTTGAGTATCACATTTAATAAATGGTAAACATCTTGAATTCTAAATTTTAATTAATTACAATTTATTGACAATATATTAAAGCTTTATGGTGTAGTTAGTAGTGATCATACATAACTATACATTCTGTTTTAACCAATTGTTCAGACTAAATATTTTATTTTAAATATCTTAATGTGACATGATTTGAGCTGAAAGTCAGTTAAAACAGAGAATCATGGCAAATGGTACATGCTCACCTTAAGCTTAATTTTACCTAAAACGTGTTCATTCATTAGACATTGTTTTAATGTTGGAGAAAGGACACTTTGTTAAATGTAGATGCTCTAATTATATCTTTATTTTGTCATATTTGTCATGTATAGACACGTGCAGTGGCAAAGTACAGACATATCTACTGCAGGTTTCTTTAAGGTAGTGAAAAACACAGAAAATTGTAGATTTTCTCCATTTTTTAAATATTTAATTATCACAGTATATTAAATCAGATTCCTAATGATATTTTCTTAGTAATTTTTCTAATTTTTGTAAAATGAGAAACCTAAATATAGTCACACATATTTCACTGTCTTATATATCATAAATTACATAATGACAATAATAATTACATCAGGAATTAAAAGATTTAAAATAAACACAAATACATTGTGGTGTACTTACAATTTCAGTAGTGAGATTCAAAGCAAAAGGGTGTAATAGTCTACCAACTCTAATCATTCATCCTCACATAGATATCAGCACACTTAATTTTTAATTTTAATACAATGACTTAGTTAATCTGGTATGCCCTTCATGTGGAAAATAAAAGCTTTTACAATTATATTAAAATATAGATATTTTGAAATAAGTTTTATATTTCTTATTATATGTAAATATTTTTAACCTGTGGAATATTTGTTTTATATTTTCATAATTGTTTAAAGATAAATCAGTTATTATTGATATATTAGACACTTATAAATAAAAATTATTTTTTATTACCCAGCCATAGATTTTGAAAACTACAAATATTTAACTTTGATCACATTTGGACATATACAAACTGTTCTATGATGTTAAAATATAACAATACATTTTTTGTGCAGCTTAAACTATCAAATATAATCACAATTTGTATAATTTAGTATACTTGGCATAAAAGTATCTATCTGACTTCTATAATAAATACAATTAAATAATAATATTTGATGTATGTTGCATATTTGATATGGTTTGGCTGTGTCTCCACCCAAATCTCATCCTAAATTGTAGCTCTCATAATTCCTATGTGTTGTGGGAGGGACCCATTGATATACAGTTGAATCATGTGGGAGGATCTTTTCTGTGCTATTCTCCTGATCATGAAAGTCTCTGAGATCTGATGGTTTTAGAAAGGGAAGTTTCCCTGCACAAGCTCTCTTCTCTTGTCTGCTGCCATGTGAGACTTGCCTTTCACCTTTCACCATCATTGTAGGCTCTCCCCGGCCACATGGAACTGTGGGTCCATTAAACCTCTTTCTTTTGTAAGTTGCCCAGTCTCTGTTATGTCTTTATCTGCAGCATGAAAACAGACTAATACAATATTTGATCTAAAAATCACCTAAATCTGGATTTAAATATTGGTTCATATAGTCTTAATATACAATGACTACATTCCAGGAGACAGTTTTTTATTTAAATGTTTTTTAAAATGTTACACTCAATACTGAATTTTTTTGTAATCACAAGATATTTTATAGAGAAAGAAATTGCTATCTATTTTTTCCTCTTGCTATTCTACAGATAATTTTTTAGCAAGGCATATTTTTTATTGTATAATAGCATATCTCCATAAAACAAACTGATTTTCTACTAACTTATAAAATATTCTGGATCAAAGTCAATGCTAGCACTTTAAATAGATTGAGTATAATCTCTGAAGTCACTCTCCAAGAGAGCTATCATTCCCATTTTATGCATGAGGAAATAGAAAGTTTAAACAATATGTTTAGGGGAATGTCTATTGAGTAGCTGGAAGAGAGGAATTTAGAGCCTGACTTGTGGAAATCCTAAGACATATCCTTTTTAGTAAAATAATGTATGTAATGAATTTAATGAATAATATATGTTTTCATTTATACAGTCTACTCCAGTAATTATCTGAACTATACCCCTTTTGGAAGTTTAACAATAATTTGTCTTAGATAATAAAATTATATCCCTGACTGTTATATACTATTTATTTATCTATCTGTTTTCCCTTGGAATCTACATTGAAATTTATTATTTTTGTTATGTTTAACTTTGTATAATACCTGACCTTTTATTTTAAACTATTTCATTAATATTTCTTTTAATAATGTTTTAATTAACAAATAGTAATTTATGCACTTCTCTGGTACAATGTGATGTTTTGATATAGGTGTACAATATGGAATTATTAAATCAATGTAATTAACATATTAATCACCTAACATACCTATCTGTATGCAGAAGAATAAAATAGAAACATTATCTCACACCATACAAAAAGATCAACTCAAAATGTGTTAAAGGCTTAAATATATAACCAGAAATCATACAACTATTAGAAAAAATATAAGGGGAAAAGCTCTATGACATTTATTTGGGCAATGGCTTTTTGAAATATGACCCCAAAAGCACAAGTAACAAAAGCAAAAATATACAGTGGGATAGCATTGAACAAAAAAGGTTCTATGCAGCAAAACAACAACAACAACAATTAACAAAATGAAGACATAATCTTCAAAATGAGAGAAAATATAAATTATATGTAAATTATATGTAAATTATAAATCTAACAAGGGTTAATATTCAAAATATATTTTAATAAATCAGGCAACTAGCATTTTAAAAATTACCCAATTAAATATTGGCAAAGGACCTGAACAGACATTTTTCAAAAGAAAACATACAAATGGCCAACAGGTACCTGAAAAAATGCTTAGCTTCACTGATCATTATGGAAATGCAAATTAAAACCACAATGAGATACTACCTCACATTCATTAGAAGGGATTTATTAAAAAGAAGAAAGATAACAAGTGTTGGTAAGGATGCGACAAGAAGAGAGCTCTTGTACATTGCTGGTGGGAATGTAAATTCCTACATTTACGGAAAGGCTGTGAAAGCTCCTCAAAAACCTGAAAATGAAAATACCGTATGATCCAGTAATTCCATTCCAGGAATATTTCCAAGGGAATTAAAATCAATATTTTTAACTGATATCTGCACTTCCATGCTCATTGAAGTATTATTCACAATTAGCCAAGTTTTATGGTTTGGCTGTGTCCCCACCCAAATCTCACTTTAAATTGTAATAATCCCCATGTGTCAAGGGTGGGACTAGGTGGAGATAATTGAATCATGGTGGGCCGTTTCTGCCATTCTGTTCTCCTGGAAGTGATATAGTCTCACAAGATCTGATGGTTTTATAAATGGGAGTTCCGCTGCTCAGCTCTCTTGCCTGACACCATACGAGACATGCTTGTACTTCTCCTTTTCCTTCCGCCATGATTGTAAGGTCTCCCCAGCCATGTGGAACTGTAAGTCCTTTAATCCTCTTTCCTTTGTAGATTACTCAGTCTTTGGTATGTCTTTATTAGCAGCATGAGAACAGACTAATACACCAAGATATGGAACTAACCTATATTGAAAACGAGTTGACTAAATAAGTATAGATCTCTTTCTGGGCCCTGTTCAGATCTGAGTCTAATGAATCTATATTTTTTTCCTTATACCAAAACACACTGCTTGACTGCTTTAGCTTTATGTTAAGTCATCCTAAGTTGTTCTTATTTTTGTAATTTTTTCAGTTACTATAGTTCTATAGCATACTGTGTACAGTTGAAAATAAGCTCATATGTTTCTTCAGAAAAGCCTGTTAGGATTTAATTTGAATTGACTTGATCTATAGAACAATTTTGAGAAGATTGTTAAATATTGAGTCTTCCAATCCTTGACCACGCCCCTCTCAGGTTATTTTAGCTTCATTTAATGGATATGGCATTGTTTTACCACTTCTAGTACACACCTTTCTTTAAATTTATTCTAATTATATTTTTATAGTACTACTATGAATGGAGTTTTGTTTTAATTATATTTTCTATTTTTGCAATAGAAGATATAGGATACAATTGATTGTTGCATATTAATATTGCTTTCTGCAACCTTGCTAAATTTATTAGATTTTGTGATTTTTATTTTTGTGAATTTTCTTAGGATTTTTCTATGCTGTCAACAAATAAAAATGTTTCCTTTCTTTAATTCAAATTTGTGTAATCTCACTTTGTTTTTCTTGCCTTATTGCACAGCCTAGGACTTCTGATATAAGGATAAATTAACGTGGTGAGAGAATATCCTTGCCTTTATCCTGATCCTAGGCAATAAGCATTAAGCCTCTCACCATTAATCTGAAGTAGCTGTTGACTCGTAATAGGTTGCATTAATCAAGTTAAGAAAGATCTCTTCTATTTCTAGTTGACTGAGAGCTATTACCATAAAAGGATATACATTTTGTCAAATTACGTTCTGTAGTTCTTGAAATTATTTTGTGTTTTTCTCCTTTCCTTTACTATTACACATTGCACTTATGGATTTACAAATATTGATATGCCCTGCCTTCCTGAGATAAACTGCTGTTGGTCATAATGTATTATCATTTTTATATGTTGTTGGATTCTATTTTTATGTATGTTTGTAAAAAATATTAGACTGTAGTTTTCTTTTAGTGATGACTGTCCAGTTTCACAATTAGAGTAACACAAATGTTTCTATTTCCTGAAAACTGTATAACAGATTATATTTCTGTAAAATGAAAAACTGCTTTTAAAGACTTCTGGGCCTAGAGTTTTCTTTGTGGAAAAGTTCTTGTTATGGGATTGCTTTTTGTTTCTGCTAGAGAAAGGATTGGTAATATACGTCTTAATTTTTATTTTTTTTTACTTCAATTGCTTTTGAGGTACAAGTGGTTTTTGGTTCCATGGATGAATTCCATAGTGGTGAATTCTGAGGTTTGGTGTACTCAATATGTAGTTTTTTATCCCTCGTCTCCTTCCTTTCCTCCCCATTCTGAGTTTTCCCAGTCCAGCGTGTCACTCTCTATGTCTCTGTATTCTCATAGCCTAGCTCCCACTTATAAATGGAAGCATATCATATTTGGTTTTCTATTCCTGAGTTACTTCACTTAGAATAATGGCCTCCAGTTCCATCGAAATTGCTGAAAATGACATTATTTTTTCCTTTTTATGTCAGAGTAGTATTTCATCGTGTGTATACACATTTTATATAGGCAGTGATTGATCAATGGGCACTTAGGTTGGTTCTATATGTTTGCAATTGTGAATTGTGCTGCTATAAACATATATACATGTTCAAGTGTCTTTTTCATACAGTGACTTCTTTTCCCTTGAGTTGATATCCAGGGTGGAATTGCTGGATTGAATGTTACATCCACTTTCAGTCCTTTAAGGAATCTCTTTCTAAAAATGTTCTGTTTTACCCAGGTTGCAAAAGCATTGGCTTAAAATATTTTATAATTGTCTCATTATTATTTTATTTTCTGAAAGATTTTGAGTGATGTTCTCTATGTAATTTTTAGTATGGGTAATTTTTTTCTCATTTTTCTTAATAAGCTTCATAAGAAACTTCTGAATTCTAATGACTTTGTTTTAAAAAACAGCTTTTGGCTTCATTTTACTTTTTCTATTGACTTTCTGTTTCTATTTCATTTATTTCTGCTCTTTGCATCTTTCCTTCCTTCTGTTTATTTTCTATTAAATATGCTCTTTTTCTAACTTAGATTGTTAGACTAGAAACTTATTAAGAAATGTTTCTCTGTTTCCAATATAGGCAATTAAAACTATAAATTTACCTTTAAACATGCCTATGCCTGATTCTCAGAAATTTTATAACTCAGTTCAAAACATGCTCATCATTCTGATTTCACTTGTCATTTCTCTCTTCCCATCCAATATGTTATAATTACTTATAATGTATCTCTACATTGTAAGCCACACAGGACCATAGTTGTAAAATAATTATATTGTTCATAAATGTAAGTTAAAGTTAATAAATATAAGTTCATAAATATAAGTTAAAGTTAATTATATTGTTCATAAATATAAGTTAAAGAGGGAAAAGCAAAAAAAATTGCATTTTTACATAAATACAGATATGTATCATTTATGATATTCATTCTTTTCTGAGGATATAATAAGTTTTCATTTGGCATTACATTTTAAGGTAAAAAAAATGCCATGCATTTCTTTTCAAACAAGTCATCTCTTGAAAAATTTTCTTAGATTTCTTTTTATCTATTTACATTCATTCTTGAATAAAATTTCTCGTGTATGCAGAATTCTGAGTTAACAGTTTTACTTGGTTGTTTGTTTAAAGTATTTGTCCCACTTTCTTCTGTCTTCCATGGTTATTGATGCATCATTGTTATCCTGAATCTATATGTTATTTTTTTCTCACATCTTTCAACCTTTGCTATATAATTTTGACTTTAAGCAGTTTAAATATGATGTGTCTCAGAATGAGCTTATTTGTACTTATCCTGCCTGGTGTTCATCTTGTGCCAGAAAATTTCTTTCAACAAATTTGGGAAAATATGTCAACTCTTTCCTGAATGTTTTGTCCATTCTTAATCTTTACATGTTTGTTACTGCAAGTATAAATATACCTGATCCCTTAATATAGTCTGTTCAAATTTTTCAATATTTTTTCTCTATATTCTTTCTTTGGATTATGACTATTGATACATAATTATTTTATGCTTTCCTTTGCCATATCCATTTCATGAAATTTATCTGATGAATTTTTTTCAAACTTGTAATTTTCGATTTTAGAATTTTTGATTATTTTTATTGTTTCTATTCTTTGTTGAGATTTTCTTCTTTACTACTAAGATTTTAGGCACTAAAAATATGTGTTGTGTTAGTTAATGTATTTGCTTATAATAATCACAGAAACTTCTTCTCTCTTGGTTCTAATGGCTGATTCTTCTCAGGGCCAGTCAACTGTTTTTCTTTTTATTTTATCATGTGCTCCATATATGTGATTCATCGTAATTGAGTAATTGTGCATTTCATTCTGAACTTTATGAGACCTTATGAATGACTATTATTTATTTTTATTTTTAAATTTAATATTATAACTAAATTTGAAAATATATAATAATAAAATAAAAATGTATATAATTACAAAATTATATTATATGAATATCATAGCTCTCTCCTGGAGAAGGAAGAGTTCTTCCTAAAAATCTTAGTGTTATATGAAGAAACATAACCTGTATCTTATGTGTGTATATATATATATATATATATATATATTTGCATTTTGGGAATCCATTCTATAGTCTGTTAACCTTAAGTAATTGAAATCCAGCTCATGTGGTCTTAATGTGTACAAAATTAACAAATAATATAGTCACACCATAAAAAATATAAAATGGCCATAAGAAAAAAGAAAAAAATGGTTATTAAAAATCATTACACTTGGAAGTAACCACTTCTGAGATCTTTGATATATAATTCTTCCTCCTAGTTTTCTTATGGATTATGTCATGTTTTCTATATAGTGTAATAACATTTTAATAATATTTATATACTATATTCCTATTTGTATCTAAATTTTAACAATATGAAACTTATGCTAAAGTGTCACTGCTAATTTAAATTGCAATACAGGGCTACATTTACCATAAATACATGTGCGCACACATATGTTTCATAAGATATGCAGAAATGATAAATTTCCATCTTTGACTTTAAATGCTCCAACTGATTAGCGTGAAATTTGTTGTGCTAAATAGCCTCAGAAGAGGGGAGCATAAAATTGACTTGACATACTAATATCATATTTTACAGTGGGTCACATTATAATTAAATGGAAATTTTATTGTAGCTACACATGGCGACTTTGCCTTCAAAAAATGCTCCTACTCTGAACAATTCTTTGGGAATATTATTAGTCTCATAAGGAGACATGCTTGTTTAAAAACTGCTAAAGTTTCTGAAGTTTGTGCATATTTAAAGTTATAGAAGAACCTTGGTGTTTAAGTATTCATAGTGTGAATTTAAGACCAAAGTATAAGCAAACCAGGAGATAAACAGTATTTGCAACTTGTAAGTGCAACTATATTTCTAATCTATACTTGGTAAATAAGTTATGCCTAATCCAAGAAGGTTATTTTTGTCAAAATAAATTCTAACGTAGTATCTTAAGTCAATGGCCAAACTGAAGCAACTATCCGCTGATAGAAGAATATAATTATTTGTGCCATTTTAACAATGAGATTACATATAGTTTTCAAAAAATATTACCTGCATATTTTTGCTTCCTCTCTCTAAATCTTAATCAGCACCTTAAAGTATATTTAAGAATTAGGTTTATTGCATCATTTTATCGTACTATATTACAGACATGATTTTTTTAATATGTGAATTGGACGATGATGTTTGGTTACAGTTTGTATAATAAAAAGTGTTACATCTATTACAGTAATTCCTCTGCTCATAATTAGAACCATACATATAATGTTGACAGCTGGGTTTAATGACTTTTTATTTAATTTTAATGGGTTCATCCCTAAGAACAAAGTGAAGATCAAAAAAAGTTATAATTTTTTCAAGGTCACAAATTGATTTCCACATGGTTTTGATGCCAAGGATAAGTCCGATCTCAACTTTTCTTTTTTACTTCTCCTCAAACACTTAAAAGTTTCTATTTGTGATTGTACGCAGTAAAATAACATGATGTCTTCATGTAAATGACAAATTAGAATAATATATTTTAAAATGAATATTTTCAAGACAATTTATAACAACCACAAAATCAATATAAACAAATAGTAGCTGCATATTTTTGTTTTCACAACATCATTTAAAGGCTTGTTCCTTGAGGAAGAGCAGGATAATGTAATGGTTAGAACATGATTTTTTGAGCAGAGCTATTTAAATTTCAAACCTGATTCTGCAAATTACCAGCAGTTTGACATCAGGCAAGTTACTCTTTGCTCAATTTCTCTATCTGTAAAATGAACATAATAATAATTTAGATACCTCAAAAGGTTAGTCAGTTTAGATTGAATTAATATTTACCGAACACATAGCGGGTTCCTCATTGTATTCCTATTATTGAGGAAAACATTCTAAAACAAATGTAAAAATAATCTTGGCTGTCTTGTTTTCTTTTGAACTCTTGCATATGGCCAAAGTATTACAAAATCTCCAATGAGCAAAGTATTATTTACATTAACTTAATGTTATTTGCTTAAATGACACAGCCCTAGCTAAGCATTTGATGATCCTATTCTGTTTTTATATCCAAAAGACTTTGTTCCCTGGTGTGTGCGTGTGTATTTTCCATAAATAACATACTTAAATCTGATAGGAAAAGTAACTTAATTCAGTAGGTTCTAAATAATAGAAATCAAAAATTGAAAATCTCATAGCAAAGAAATGTGAGATAAAAGGGATTACCTTTTAACACCATCAGATAAAACCCTGTGTAGATTTTGTATATATGGGTGTGTGGAAAGTTAGTCAATACTTTTGCATTCATTCAGGAACTCAGGCACTATAACAGCTGTGTGCCAGGATAGCAACGCCTGTGAACAGGTGGGCCTAATGCTTCAGGGCTACATGTGGTTAGCAATAAATTGAATTCACCGCAGACAAAACAGAGCAAATTAAAAAAAGAGCTTCTTTTGCAAAGGGCACAATATTAAGCCACAGGAAGGTCAGTTGAAAGTATAGCTAAGACAGACTGCTAAATTCATGAAAATATTTTCTGCATATTTTCTTTGACTTCTTGTCCAAGTGGTTAAAACTAGTCACTCAGCATTTTTGAAAACCTGCAGAGTCAAAAATTACAAAACTTGATTTAAAACAGCTGCTTGAAAAATGGCATACTGAGCAAAACCTGGAGAATATACATTTATATTTCTTGATTAAAGAAACCCACTATTGAATATCATTCATAAAATGGAGATTGATATGTAGTGTAAACATGAATTTGATCATTAAAGATACTTGTCTCTCAGTGACAACAAATAATTGCTGTTTTGATGGAAGATCTATGTAATTAATAAAATAATGCTGCTGACTTTATACTTTTTAAGACACTTGAGAGGCTGATTAAAATTTATGTTGAAAGTTTTAAAGTTATAACTATAAATTTAAAATAGGCTTTTAAATGTGTTATTATATTTAGTTTTTTAGGATCTACAATCTCAGTATTTTTTAAATTATTAAATGATTTTTCCTATAGATGAAAATCTTTGGAAATCTACATTTTAGGAATCAATTAATTAAATGTATCCAATTAATATTTTGAGCAACTTCTGTATGTAGTTTATTGTTGTCACATCAGAGATAAACAGAAAGTTTCTGATCCTGTTCTGTGGAGCTTGCCATATACAACACTTGGAGGGAGTTTTATAGTGTGAACAAATGCTTGATCTACATGTTTTTAAAATTCTAAACGTATTATTTTAAAAGGTGAGTCAAGATTTATTTTTTCTGCATCTAAGTTTTTTCACTTTAAATGTAAACTACATTCTGATTGTAATATTATAGAAATTACAAAATGATATCTATTTAGAAAAGGTGGTAAATTCACTTATGCCAATAAGAATTAATATCTGGGAGTCCTAGAGATACTATTTAAATAAACAGAAATGACCACTAACCTATCTTTCAAGCTAGAAAAAAACCAATTACACCTGGAAAGAAACATGTCCAAGATGGGAGATCAAGTCAGTGAAGCTAAGGTATAAATGGAAAACGTTAGAGAATCAGGAATAAAAAGGGCAAGGAGAAGAACCTTGAATAATTCCTCATTCACTCATTTACATATTCATTCAGCAAACATTTCTAAGGAGGTATTGCATGTCAAGAACTTCGTTAGGCAAATAAAATTTCTTATTATCACATAAATAAATAGTTTTGCTATATTGGATTGACTCTTAGTAAGTCTAGAGTTAATTATGAGAAATAACTTTCTATGACTGTATAGCATGTATTTTTTACATATAAATGCTCATGCTTCATCTTACTAGCGATTTTTTCTTATTCTTAATCCCACTGTTAACATTTTACATCAGTGTAGTCATCACAATTAATGAGAAATTAATTATGTATTATTCATTTATAAAATGCATAGATTTTTTATAATTTCATAGTTCTTATCTACCATCCTTATATGTTTCAGAGTCCTATGCAGGATACCACATTGCACTGGTATTATCTCTTTAGACTCCTCCTGGCTGTGGTAGTTTTTCAGACTATCCTTGTTTTGATGTTTTTGACAGTTTTAAGATGTATTGTTCAGATATTTTGGAGAATGTCTCTTGATTTGGGTTTATCTCATGTTTTTTCATGATTAGACTAAGATTATTAGTTTGTATCAAGGCAACAGAGGTAAAGTGCCATTCTCATATTATCCTATCAAAGGTACATGGGGCCAACATGCATTATTACTGTTGATGTTAAATCTGATCAACTGGCTGAGGTAGTATTTATTAGGCTTCACCTGTTTCATTCTCCCCCAGTTTCCCCCAAACACACCTGGAAACCCCCAGTCTGTCTAATATCTCTATAATTCTGCTTTTTCCAGAATGGCATATAATGAGATTCACACAATATATAGGTTTTTCAGACTTGTCACTTAGCAATATGCATTTTAGTTTTATCTGTATCATTTTGTGGTATAATAGCTTATTTCCTTTCAATACTTATTATTTTACTGTATAAATGTAAGATAGTTTATTTATCCATTCACATATTGAAGGAAATTTTGTTTGCTTCAAGTTTTTGGCAATTGTGAATAAAGCTACTGTGAACATTTTTGTAAAGCTTTTGTAAAAACAGGCTTATTATTTCTGATATGTTAGGTAAAAAATTTAAAGTGTAATATTTATGGTAAGACTATGCTTATTTTTCTAAGAAACTGCCAAATTGCCTTCTAACATAACAGTTGTGTGTTGTATTCCTGCCAGCAGTCAATGGGACTTCCTTAACAATAAATGGCATTCTCAGATAGTTTTGGATTGCAGTAATTGTAATAGGTGTGTAGTGGTATCTTGTTGTGTTATAATAGTCATTTTCTTAATGGCAAATTATGTTGAGCATATTTCCATTGCTTATCTGTCACCTGAATTTCTCTTTTCGTAAGTTGTCTGTTCAGATAATTGAGTCATTTCCTCATTGTTCAGTTTTAAGAGATCTTTATATATTTTGAAGAGAATTCCTTTATTACATATGTACCTTAGCTTGTATTTCCTTCTAGATTCTCTCTTAAATTCTGAGTGTCTTGTGCAGAGTGGACATTTTTAATTTTAATAAAGTCTAGTTTTTCAATTTTGTTACTTTTATGTAATGTTTTTGGTGCTGTATCAAATACTTCATCACCAACTAAAAGAATCACAGTTACTCTTTTCTGTTTTCTTCTGGAAATTGTATCTGTTTGCAGTTACAGTTAGGTCTACCATCTAATTCAAGTTATTTTTTTCATAGATGTAACGTCTGTGTCTAGATTAAGAAAATTTAAATGTGGACATCCATTTGTTTCAGCTTTGACAGTACTACCTCGATTGAATTGTCTATACATCTTTGTCAAAAAAATTAGCTAAAAAATCAGTGGACTCTATTTGTGAATGTCTTTTCTGGGCTCTCTAATTTCTTCCACTGACCTCTGTGTCTGTTTTTTCACCAATATCATGTTCTCTTCATTAATGCAGCTTTACAGTAAAATTTGAAAATAGGGTTGCTGTTCCAACTTTATTATTTTCAATGTTTATTGGCTATTTTGGGTCTTCTATCTTTCCATATAAATGTTAGAATCAGTTTGTCGATAGCTATAAATAACCCCCTGGGATTTTATTTGGGATTAAATTGAATCAATAAGTCATGTTTGAAGAATTGCTATCTTAACAATATTAAGAATTCTTATCCATCAACATGGACTATCTCTTCACTTATGTAGACCTAATTTTAAAATTTCTATAATGTTTTGCTATGTTCTTCATCCAGATTCTATACATTATTTGTTATATTTATAGCTACATATTTTGGTATTGTAAATGGTATTGGTTTATTACTTTTTAATTTCTATCCTTTATCATTCAAATACAGGACTTTAGAATTAGATACGTTGTTACAACATTTATTAGTTCCAGGAATTATTTTTGTAGATTTGTTATACCATCTGCATAAACAATTACGTCATCTTTGTTTAAAGACATTTTTCTTTTCTTCTTCAATTTCTGTATCTTTAAATTCTTTTCATATTAAGAATAGTTGCAGAGTAAAGTTTTAATTATAATTTTGTGTTTCTCTAATTCTTATTTTGATTCTATTAATTGTTCCCTTACATGTTTTTGTGCTCTGTTTTTAGGTGCATACTTGTTTAAGATTATTAAGTATCTTTAAATAATTGGCTCTTTTATTCTTATTTAATATCCCTTTTATCCCTGCTAATCTTTCTTTTTCTTAATTCTGCATTGTCTAAAATTAGTATTGTAACTTCAGCCTTTTTTGGATTAGTGTTAGCACGGGACATCTTTTAACGTTTTTTAACATGTACCCTATCTGTATCTTTTCATTTAAAACAGGAATCTTGTAGACGATATATAGTGGAACTTTTATTTGGTGTATAAAGTTGGTTCATATTTAAAGTGATTACTGATATAGTTGAATTGATATCTACTATGCTTATAATTATTTTCCATTTGTGAAATTACTGTTCCCTCTTTTTCTGCCTTGACTTCAAGTGCATATTTTACATGAAGTTATTTTATCTCCGTTTATAGCATTCCAATATAATTATTTGAAATATTTTACACTGGCTTCACAAGAATTTTCCACGTGCAAATTTAACTAATATAATTTCACTTTCAGATATTATTCTATGTCTAGGTCAGAGCCTTCTAAAAGTGTATTAACCATTCCTCTCCCCCATCCGTTTTGACATTGCTGTCATTCATTTCACTTATCCAATATAATATTATTTTCTCCTTTTAACAAAACTTTACCTTTATATCAAATACAAGTTGATATAAGTTACAAATTAAAAACATAAAATATATTTTACTTCAATTTAGTTTTCCGTGGTGTTCCTTCTCTCTCTATGTAGACACAAGTTGTTAACCTCTATCATTTACCTTCTCTCTAAATATATTATATTTTAACACTTCTTGCAAGATATAACTACTGGCAATGAATTGACTCAGTTTTCTGATTGTCTGAGGACACCTTTATTCCTTCTTCGCTTTCAAAGAATAATTTTGCTGGGTATACAATGTTAATTTAGCGGGTTTTATTTTTCAGCACTAATTTTTTCACTGCACTCTCTTCTTGCTGACCTGATTTATTACAAGACGTCCTTTGCCATTCTTACCTTTGTTTTATACATAAGTTTCTCCATCCACACCCCTCAACGCTGGCCCTGGCTTATCTCAAAATTTTTGCTTTATCTATGGTTCTCTGCAATTTCAAAATGATATGCTTAGGAGTGTGTGTGTGTGTGTATCATTTGTCTTGGAAATTATTCTGCTTGAAGTTATCTGAGCTACCTAGATCTGTGAATTGATGACAATCAATCTTAGAAAGTTATTAGCTATTATTATTTTTAATGTGTTATGCTCTTCAAATATTATTGTCTTATTCATTTTTCTCATATTCCAACTACATGTATATTACATATTTAATATTTCCCAATGTTATTTTTTATAAAACAGTCCTTTTATTGATGCATAGCAGATGTACCTAGTTTCAAGGTACATATGATAATTAAATATATTCATATAATTTATAAAGATCAAGTCTGTGTAGTTGTGATTTTCTTCACCTTAATTCTTTGTCTTTTTTATGCTAGAAATATTCAAATTGTTCTTTACACTATATTGAAATGTGCAGTAGAGTTTTGTAAACTATAATCATCCGACTAATGTATTAAACATAAATCTAATTATATCTATCAAACAATATATTTGTACCTATCAATTATCTTTATTATCCCCGCCCCCTGCCCTTCCCAGCCTCTGGAAACCACCAATCTACTTTCTATCTTTATGGGATACACTCTTTTAGCTCTGACATAAAAGACAGAAATATTCAATATTTATATTCCTATGCTTGGTTTATTTCACTTAAAAGATATTCCATGCTCATGGATTGGAAGAATTAATATTGTTAAACTGGTATACCACTCAAAACAATTTACATATTTAATGCAATCCCTATTAAAATGCCAATGACATTATTTACAGAAACAGAAAATTATTCTAAAATGTAGATGAAATTGCTAAAGCTCCTGAATAGCCAGAGCAATTCTAAGCAAGAAAACAAACCTAGAAGGATAACAAAGTGTGGCTTCAAAATTTACTACAAAACTATAGTAACCAGAAATACAGTCCAATGGAACAGATTATATAACTCATATATAAATTCACCCATTTATAGCCAACTCATCTTTGGCAAGGGGCCAAGAACATACAATGGAGAAAGAGCAATATCTTCAATAAATGATGCTGAGAAATACGAATATTCATATGCAGAAAAATGAAACTAGACACCTATTTTTCACTATGTGCAAAAATAAAATGAAAGTGAATTAAAGACTTAAATCTAGGACCTGACATTATGAAAACTACTGAAGGAAACATGGGGGAAATGCTCCAGGACATTGGTCTGGGCAAAGCCTTTTTGCATGCAATTTCTGAAGCACAGACGACCAAAGCACAAATGAACAAATGGGATGACATCAAAAAGCATAAAAACTTCTGATCAGCAGAAGAAACAATCAACAAGATAGACAACCCACAGAACAGGAGAAAATATTTACAACTATCCATCTGACAAGGGACTAATCAGCAGAATATACAAGGAGCTCAATACCCAAAGAAAAGCACAATTAAAAAATGGGCCAAAAGTCTATACAGACATTTCTCAAAAGAAGACAAACAAATGACCAACAGATATTTGAGAAAATGTTGAGCATCACTAACCGAGGAAACACACAACAAAACCACGATGAGCTATCATCTCACCCCAGTTAAAATTGCTTTTATCAAAAAGACAGGCCATAGCAGATGTTAGTGCAGATGTGGAGAAAGGGGAACCCTCGTACTCTGTTGGTGGGAAAGTACATTAGTACAGCCACTAAGGAAAACTGTATGGAGGTTCCTTATAAAACTAAAAATAATATATCATATGATCCTGCAATTCTGCTCCTGAAAAATATATCCAAAAGAAATAAAATCTGTTTATCAAAGAGATATCTGTACTCCCACCATTCACAATAGCTAAAATATGTAAACTTTTGAATTCTTACACATAATCACTTTTTTCTTTAATGTGTCAACTCTAACAATGTTATAGATATCTGATGTATTGAACCTATTATGTTTTTCTGTAGTTCTTTTCTCTTCTCCTTAGCCAGGCTAGATTAGCATCATTTTGCTGAAAACATCCTCAATAATCCTGACCTCACCAGCTGCATCATACTTGTCTGACAAAACAGAGCCATAGTTTGCAATCTATCACACTATGGGGGAGAAAGTACAATAGAAATGCAGGCAAAAAAGAAAATAATTTTATAATATATTTTCTGAATAGGTGAAAGGGGGTGAAATGTAGCACATTAATAAGTAGAGAGGATGTCCTTAGCAACATACATAGTTCATACGTGGTAACAGGAGGGGAAGAAAAATATATGAACACAGATTCAGAGACTACAGAAAAAGAGAAATAGTGAATATCCTTTGTGAGAAATGTTATTGGAGATAAACTTATAATGTTTAGAATTACTGTGAGATTAAAGTTATGTGGTGAAACTAATTGGCATTATCTATAATGTTTGGTGGCCTGGGAGGTTAAAATGCAAAATAAATTGTTGTGGCTATCCAGGTTTTTTGGAATAGAAGGAAAAAATAAGACTGGAGTTATAAATGTAAATAACTGTAGAGTGTTGAAAACACTCCACAACAAACTCTGTTGATCCATGAAATCCAATTTTAATTGGTAAAAAATAAAACAAGTCATTGCTGTTGTTGACAAATATAATAATAATAAATATTAATAGCATTCAGAATATTAAAGGTCAAAAAACAGTATATTCTTGTAATTAATAAATTATTTCTCCACCACTCACTATATTCTTACATTTAACTAAGCTCTGGGGTGAAATCTTTTTTTTATTTTATCACGTGGAGCTTATAGTCTTAACCAATGATTTTCAAGATAAATTTCAGTCCGTTTTCTGCATGTCTAGTTACCTGGTTTTATAAAGTCCAATTCCTTGAATGGAGATCATATTTTATATGACTCTGCAAATAACTCATAATATTCTCTTTCTAGTAATATTGTGACACTATCAAAATAAAATCACACGGTTCATGCGTAGACACACATTATATCAAATGTTTACATATAATACAAACCCAGTTTTAGAATTGGAAGAAAAGCATAATTCATCAATATACCTTACTTAATAAATGGAGCCTTTTTGAATATCACATGTATTCAATATTATAATGTCATTAATACATGTGCTGTCATTTTCATTATGAACCTAGTTGAATTCACAGTTCTTATTTCCCTTAGCATATTTAGTTTAAAAAGAATCTCAAAGAGAAAGATGAGAACTCGCAGAGGCCCTCACAAAACTTTAAAAAATGAACATATTTTCTAATTAGTTAACTTTTTTTACCTTGACTATGCTCGAAAAATTAGCACACTGAAATGTGGGCTTCATAGAAGGCAAATCTAATTTACATTTTCCTAAATTTCAGGGGTAATTATTAGAGATGGGTTATTTAACTGGCCTGTAATTAGAATACCAATGAGCCAGTTCCCCTAAAAAATCTCCCTATTGTAGACAGACAATTCTCTTCCGCTTGAATATCTTAGCCATAAAAATCTGCTCTCTATTTAACACATATTTTTTTCCAGTTTGAAAAAGGAAAATGCATATGCAGGCCATCCTTAATAGCCCCGAAGGAAAAATTCTCACCGTAT
Source organism: Homo sapiens (assembly GCF_000001405.40). Classification (NCBI taxonomy): domain Eukaryota; kingdom Metazoa; phylum Chordata; class Mammalia; order Primates; family Hominidae; genus Homo; species Homo sapiens. The sequence goes on along the minus strand of NC_000003.12, from coordinate 82,919,334 downwards.
TTCAATGCATTTATTCAGTCATTACATAGAATTGATGCCCAGGGCATACATGGTTGATGGACCTAATGTTTCTAAGCAAAGTATAAAGAGTTTGATTTTAAGGGGCGAGGAAGAGGCAGGTTATGAAATATTGTATTATTTTCCTTTGGGAGTTAGGCTGTAGGGGAGCTACTATCATGAAATGGCACTTTTGTGGGATTGGTGGGAAATGGAATTTGGCAAACAATAATTGAAGAAGTGTCTACCTTGGAAATCAATTTCAGAAATACTCAAGTGAAATATCAATAAATGCATATTTTGTAAAACGCTTAGCACTTTAAAGATGTATTGTGAGTTCTTGAAGAATGACATGTCAAAGGACCGTATATATGCGTGTATGTGTGTTTATATATATATGCTTATTATATATGTATGTGTATATATACACATACATAGAGAGCTAGCACAGGATGACTTCTCAAAATAACAGATTTTAGATTAATTTTGTTAAACACCCCACGCAATGTGTGTGCATGTGTGTGTATGTGTGTGTGTATGTTTATCTCTCTCATTTTATTCTCCAATAGTTAGTGAAACAGGGTAAGACGAAAATGGCTAGAGTTTATTTATTCTAGAGGCGACCTTTAATTCAACTTATGTAGACTGTAGAGGGAGTGGCCTGGTTAATGTCAGGTAAAAATCTAGGTTTCAGACTGCCATTTTGTGTTCTAACTTTATAAACCATCAACGTCATCAGCAGCAGCATCTTCAAATAGATTGCCCCTTTACTTGAGTAAATTGAAGTCATCTTTTTTTCCATTCTAATAACCAAATACAGACATACCTAGGAGATATTGCTGATTTGGTTCTAGACCAACACAGTAAAGGAAATATCACAAAAAACGTGACCAAACAAATTTTATGGCTTCTCAGTATATATAAAAGTTATGTTTACATTGTACTGCAGCCTATTAAATGTGCAATAACATCATGTCTAAAAAAAGTACATACCTTAATTTAAAAAATACATTATTTTAAAAAATGCTAACAAACTTTTAAGCCTATAGCAAGCCCAATCTTTTTTTCTGTTGGAGAGCCTTGCCATGATTTGGATGGCGGCTGACTAGTCAAGGGGGTGGTTGGTGACTTGTGGGGTAGCTGTGACTCTCCTAAAACAAAAAAAAATGAAATTTGCCACATTCATTGATTCTTTCTGTCATGAAAGATTTCTCTGTAGCATGTGATGCTGTTTGATAGCATTTTGTTCACTGCACACCTTCTTTCAAAATTGCAATCAATCCTTTCAAGACCTGCCACTGCTTTATCAACTAAGTTTAGGTAATATTCTAAATCTTTTGTTGGCATTTCAACAATGTTTACAACATATTCACCAGGAGTACATTATGTCACAAGAAACCACTCTCTTTGCTCAGCCAAAAGGAAAAGCTGTCACTCATTCAGACTGTGTAATATATATATATGTAATATATAACATATATAAAATATATATTATATATTATATATACTATCTTATATATCAGATAGTATATATTATATATATACTATCTGATATATAAGATTGTATATATTATATATGTAATACCTAAGATATTACATATAATATATATACTATCATATATAAGATATTACATATATAATATATACTATCTTATATAAGATATGAGGTATTATATATAATATATATTATTATATATGTATATAACATATACATATGTATATATGCATATATGTTATGTATAATATACATTATATATGTTATGTATAATATACATTATATATGTTATGTATAATATACATTGTATATGTTATGTATAATATACATTGTATATGTTATGTATAATATACATTGTATATGTTATGTATAATATACATTGTATATGTTATGTATAATATACATTGTATATGTTATGTATAATATACATTGTATATGTTATGTATAATATACATTGTATATGTTATGTATAATATACATTGTATATGTTATGTATAATATACATTGTATATGTTATGTATAATATATAATATACAAATATATACATTATATATGTTATATATAATATATAATATACAAATATATAATATATTATATATAATATATTATATACAAATATAACATATATTTTATATAATATATATTTTATATATTATATAACATATATTACATATATTATATATCATATATATCATATAAAATATATATTATGTATATTATATATTATATATAATACATATAATATATATTATATAATATACATACATACATTATACGTAATATGTATGTATTATATACATACATACATTATACGTAATATGTATTATATACATACATACATTATACGTAATATGTATGTATTATATACATACATACATTATACGTAATATGTATGTATTATATACATACATACATTATACGTAATATGTATGTATTATATACATACATACATATAAACGTAATATGTATGTATTATATACATACATACATATAAACGTAATATGTATGTATTATATACATACATACATATAAACGTAATATGTATGTATTATATACATACATACATATAAACGTAATATGTATGTATTATATACATACATACATATAAACGTAATATGTATGTATTATATACATACATACATATAAACGTAATATGTATGTATTATATACATACATACATATATACGTAATATGTATGTATTATATACATACATACATATAAACGTAATATGTATGTATTATATACATACATACATATATACGTAATATGTATGTATTATATACATACATACATATATACGTAATATGTATGTATTATATACATACATACATATATACGTAATATGTATGTATTATATACATATATACGTAATATATATGTATTATATATATATACATATATACGTAATATGTATGTATTATATACATATATACATAATATGTATGTATTATATACATATATACATAGTATGTATGTATTATATACATATATACATATATACGTAATATGTATATATTATATACATATATACATATATACATATCTTATATATAATACCTTATATATAATATCTTTTATATAATATCATATATAATATCATATATAATATCTTATATATAATATCTTATATATAAGATATAATATCTTATATATAAGATATAATATGTAAAATATATAATATATATTTTATATATATTATATGTTACATATATATATATTACACACTCAGTCTGAATGAGTGAGAGTTTTTCCTTATGGATGAGCAAAGAGAGTGGTTTCTTGTGACATAATGTACTCCTGGTCAATATGTTGTAAACATTGTTGAAATGCCAACAAAAGATTTAGAATATTACCTAAACTTAGTTGATAAAGCAGTGGCAGGTCTTGAAAGGATTGATTGCAATTTTGAAAGAAGGTGTGCAGTGAACAAAATGCTATCAAACAGCATCACATGCTACAGAGAAATCTTTCATGACAGAAAGAATCAATGAATGTGGCAAATTTCATTGTTTTTTTTGTTTTAGGAGTGTAGGACTTGTAGGACTACCCCACAAGTCACCAACCACCCCCTTGACTAGTCAGCCGCCATCCAAATCATGGCAAGGCTCTCCAACAGAAAAAAAGATTGGGCTTGCTATAGGCTTAAAAGTTTGTTAGCATTTTTTAAAATAATGTATTTTTTAAATTAAGGTATGTACTTTTTTTAGACATGATGTTATTGCACATTTAATAGGCTGCAGTACAATGTAAACATAACTTTTATATATACTGAGAAGCCATAAAGTTTATATTTATATTTATATTTATTTATAAATATATATTTATAAATATATTATATTTATATTTATATATTTATAAATATATATTTATAAATATATTGTATTTATATTTATATATAAATATATATTATATATAAATATATAAATATATTATATATTTATATATTTATATAATATATATAATATATAAATATAAATATATAAATATATTATATATTTATATATTTATATAATATATATATATTATATATATATTTTTGAGACAGAGTCTCACTCTGTCACCCAGTCTGGAGTACAGTGGTGTGATCTCAGCTCACTGCAAACTTTGCTTCCCAGGTTCAAGTGATTCTCCTGCCTCAGCCTCCTGAGAATCTGGGATTACAGGCGAGTGCCACCAAACCTGGCTATATCTTTATATTTTTTAGTAGAGACGGGTTTCACCATGTTAGCCAGGCTGGTCTCGAACTCCTGACCTCTAGTGATCCACCCACCTCAGCCTCCCAAAGTGCTGGGATTACAGGTATGAGCCACTGTGCCGAGCCTTCCTTCTCTAAATTTTAAGAACCAACTTTTACTAGCTTCAAACTTTTCTTCTGAGGCTTTCTCACCTCTCTAAACCTTCACACAATTGAAGAGAGTTAGGGGCCTGCTCTGCATTGTTTTGGCTTAAGCGAATGTTGTGGCTGGTTTGCTCTTCTATCTAGAACTTTCTCCATATCAGCACTAAAGCAGTTTCACATTCTTATCATCTGTGTGTTCACTGGAGCAGCACTTTTACTTTCTTTTTTTTTTATTTTATTATTATTATACTTCAAGTTTTAGGGTACATGTGCACAATGTGCAGGTTAGTTACATATGTATACATGTGCCATGCTGGTGTGCTGCACCCACTAACTTGTCATTTAGCATTAGGTATATCTCCTAAAGCTATCCCTCCCCCCTCCCCCCACCCCACAACAGTCCCCAGAATGTGATGTTCCCCTTCCTGTGTCCATGTGTTCTCATTGTTCAATTGCCACCTATGAGTGAGAATATGTGGTGTTTGGTTTTTTGTTCTTGCGATAGTTTACTGAGAATGATGATTTCCAATTTCATCCATGTCCCTACAAAGGACATGAACTCATCATTTTTTATGGCTGCATAGTATTCCATGGTGTATATGTGCCATATTTTCTTAATCCAGTCTATCATTGTTGGACATTTGGGTTGGTTCCAAGTCTTTGCTATTGTGAATAGAGCCGCGATAAACATACATGTGCATGTGTCTTTATAGCAGCATGATTTATCTCATTACTGGGTATATACCCAGAGCACTTTTACATTCATTTGGGAACTTTTCCTTTGCATTCACAATAGGCTGTGTGGTGCGAGAGGCCTAGCTTTTAGCTTCTCTTGGCTTTCAACATGCCTTCCTTACTAAGTTTAATTATACCTAACATTTGCTTTAAAGCAAGAGAGGTGAGACTCTCACTTAAACACTTAGAGGCCATTGTAAGGTTATTAATTGACCTGATTTCAGTATTACTGTGCCTTAGGAAATAAGAAGGCCTGAGGAGGGGGAGACAGATGGAGGAAAGCTAGCCCATGGAGCAGTCAGAACACACACAAAACTTATCAATTATGTGTTTCTTCCTATATGGGTTTGGTTTGTGGTGCCCCAAAACCATGACAATAGTAACATCAAATATCACTCTTCTCAGATCACTATAAGAAATATAATAATAATGAAAGTTTGAAATATTGTGAGAATTACCAAAATGTGACAGACATGAAATCATCACCTGCTGCTGAAAAAAAAAAATGGTGCCAAAAGACTTGCTTGACACAATATTGCCACAGCCTTCCAATTGTAAAACAAATACAATATCTGAAAAGTACAATAAAGTAAAGCACATTAAAATGAGGTATCCCTCTCCAGGCGGGGTGTCTCACGCCTGTAATCCCAGCACTTTCGGAGGCCGAGGCGGGTGGATCACGAGGTCAGGAGATCGAGACCATCCTGGCTAACACGGTGAAATCCTGTCTCTACTAAAAATACAAAAAATTAGCCGGGTGTGGTGGCGGATTCCTGTAGTCCCAGCTACTCGGGAGGCTGAGGCAGGAGAATGGTGTGAACCCAGGAGGTGGAGCTTGCCGTGAGCCGAGATTGCGCCACTGCACTCCAGCCTGGGTGACAGAGAGAGACTCTGTCTCAAAAAAATAAAATAAAATAAAATAAATATATAAATAAATAAAATGAGGTACGCCTGTAGATTAAGTGAAACGGATCTGTGACTGGTTGGTTAAATTTTTTAATAACACGCAAAATGAATACAATATGCAAAATGTGTCCACCTTTAGGGCATGAGTTGAGATGAATATTTCCACAATAAATATTTCTGTAATTTTGATTGCTATAGACAGGATGTGGCATTACATAGTACAAGAGTAGGTTGCGTAACATAATAAATATCTCATTTTCATTATGTTCTAACATTATTGTGGTCACTCAGTTTATTTGGTATGAATAATATAACATTTGCTACTCCATGTGTTTTAGAATTTATCACTGCCTTTAAAAACTGACGACCAGGATAGTTTTATTTACTCCAAATTACTTCCAATACAAAATATATATTTCTACATAAAGAGATATAAGCTTTTCTAATTGAAAGAGGTGAAAATATATTATTTTAAAGTAGTTACAGATATCAGAAAGTCCAAAAATTCTCCAGCTCTATCAACTAGAGCAGCAGCTTTATAAACTGCTAAATAAAAAGGGCAGATTAATAAAGATGTATTCCTAGTAAAATCCTGCTTAATTATAACCAATTCCAATGTGTTTTTTAGACTTTTTCCTCAAGGACAATTTTGCCAGAGTATATAAAGCCAGAAAGGGCACTCTTTCTGCCTGTCTACTACCCAAGTTCTTCTCAGAAAATGTAGCTGTAAGGAATCTCTTGCCAAGTACTCTGCATTTAAAAGTCTTACTTTATCAAAGTCAGATCCCTTAAGGTGAATGTCAGGGAAAGCTCTCGTTGTGTCTCCAGTAGGAGGAAAGCTTCTATATTTTTTCAAGAACAGTTGTATATTTCAGTGGTTATAAGGGCACTTGTGTCGGGAATCAGAATTCTACCTATATCTCATGTTATCCTTGTGATTTTGTGTAATCTGTTTCATCTATTGAAGCCCCCATTTCTCACAGGTAAGGCAAATATATTAAAGTCACCTACTATATCTAGAAATATTTTTATGATCAATTTGATATTATCTAGGTAAAATTATCAGCCCATTGCCTGGCTTTAGTATGTATTCAATAAGGTTTTACTGTTAACTAATTGGATTTCTATATCTTGTTTCCAAAACAGATGGATTAATATATTTTTATTATCATACAAAAATTATATTTCTTGAGAAGACATTCTAAGTAAAATGTTTTACTCTTTCAAAAACAAATATTTTATTCTACCGAGTGGCAGACACAGTAAGATCTAACAAAATTTCATACAGGGAGAATAGATTATGAGTGAAAATGTCTAATATCATATTGTCTGCTGTATGACAGTTTAGAAGAGTATTTTTTTCTTCAACTTTTAAGTTCAGGGGTACACGGGCAGCATGTGCAGGTTTGTTATACAGGTAAACGTGTGCCATCGTGGTTTGCTGTGCATATCATCCCATTGCCTAGATATTAAGCTCAACACCCGTTAGCTAGAAGAGCATTTTTAAATATTTATTAAGCCATACTCTTTTTTAATTCTCAAATATGTGGAAGTAGATTTCAAAGAGATAGTAATTGAACAAGAGTGGCATAAATTTCTAACCCAATATTCTCTTCTAAACCAAAGGACATTATATGTTTTAGCCACTATAACACCACAAAGCCTTTGGAATACAAAGACCTCTGGTGCGTGAAATGATTGATGATGATACTTCTGATGTTGTAAAGTTGTAATCTGTCTCTTTTTCAAGTGGGATGTCAAGACAATGAATAAATTTCCCAACACTAGAGAGAAACGCTGTGGCATGAAAAGAATCAGTGGGAAGAGAATAGATTCCTTTTCTGGGCTTGCCCAAGCACACGTCCAGAATTCCTTATTTATAAAGTGTTTGTCATAAGTTTGCTGCAATTTCATTTGGCAGCTAAACCTGATATGAATGATGGAAGAGTATTATAGTTTTTATTCTATAGTCCTTGTAGTGAATATTCATACTGATATTTTTGATTAGCATGTGCTGCCATAGACCCTATCAGAGTGTTATGCAATATGCCGTCTATGTAATGCATCACCTTTAAAAAGTGAAAATGCCAAATTCTGAAATAACTCTCGACTTAAATTTCTAGATAAGTAATTGTGGACTCGTTTTGAGAAATGAAAATTATTTTTCTTCTCCAAATTTTTGTTTTCCCATTTTTGGAAGTCACAATGTGTATGTGAGTGTTCTAAATATATAAATATAAAACATATAAATATATGTTTAAATATAAATATAAAACATAAAAATATAAAACAAACATGATTAGAACATTCACATACATGTATATTGTATATAGCATTATATGTTTAAAACATACATATTAACATATCTTTAACAATTTTCTCTTACATAAAATAAATATAAGAGACAATCAGATTTTTGAAATTTAAATTGAATTTACATTGTATATACTTCTCATGTACAACACTTCTGGAAATATGTATATAGCATAGAAAGGGTAAATTGTGCTTATATTTGAAATCTAAAAAAGTTGAGCTCATAGACTTTGAGAATGAAATAGTGGTTACTAGGGACTGGGAGGGTAAAGTGGGGAGATGTTGGCCAGAGGATACAAAACTTTAGTTAGATTAGGGGAATAAATTCAAGAGATCTATTGCATAATATAATGACTATAGTTAAGAACAATATATTGTAGTCTTCAAAATTCCAAAGAGAGTAGATTTTAAGTGTTCTTACCATAAAAAATAAGTATGTAAGGAAATATATACAAATAATTTTATAATTCATAAAACACAAAGACGAACTGCTGCTCAAAAATATACGTCCTTCTTTATTTTATTTTGGTTGTTATAAATAGAAATTATACATTTTAAATTTTTTTATAGTATTTAAAGTAGAAATACTTTAACACCCTGATAAATGCGTCTTGTCACTTGTGATTAATTTACTCATGTAATTAGCCCTTTCTAAAAAGAGAATTTTGTGCCCACTGATTTATCAAAAGCTCTTTGTATTTAAGATTGAGACATTTCAAATGCTTATTATTTTGTAGATATTTTATCAATATCAATTAATTTTTTCATTATCATTTTAATATGTTTGAATACACATATTTACTGCAAGTATTTTAAAAAATACTTTTAAAAGATACTATGTATTTTGTCTTTAAGATTACCTCTTAGAATTCCTAAACAAACTTCAGTTATATATCAGCAATATATTTTTTTCTTTTATATGGTAAAAACTATAAATTTTAGCTATTTTAACTTTATTATGATTTGCTCCTGTATAAAATGTGAAGTGACAGAATTATATTTTTTTCCCAAATAATTAATTTCTGAAGAGTCTTTACTTAGTGTTCATTTAGAGTATGGTTTATTTTACTAAATCTCTATATTTATTAAATTAGGACAGACAATGCTAATAAGTCTTTATCTTGAGTGCCAATTTTAATCAGAAGGCAATGGCTGTGAATAAGCAGTACGATGAAAGAAATTGGAGTTCATGTTAGGACTTAGAAGGAAAATATGCCAAGATGGATTATCCAAATTTCTCATTGATGAAGAAGAGAAAATTGCTGGCATATTTACCTATATTTAACTACATGAGTTCAAGGGTTTTATTTCTGTTTATTTTTTCTGAACCTTTGATTAATTTCAAATCTCATGCCAGTGGTACCATACTGATTGTTAAATGTTTCTATTTTATTTTACTATTATTAAATTTATTTCACCATTCTGCCCTTTTTCTCAACATTTCGTTTCAGCTCTCACATTTTATACTTCTAATTAAACCTTAGAATGATAAAATTTATAATAAATAATTTGATTGAAAAAAAATTTTTTTGAGATGGATTTCACTCTTGTCACCCAGGCTGGAGTGCAAAGGTGCAATCTCAGTTCACTGCAACTTCTGCCTCCGGGGTTGAAGCAATTCTCCTGCCTCAGCCTCCCAAGTAACTGGGATTACAGGCATGCACCACCATGCCCAGCTAATTTTGCATTTTTAAAGTAGAGATGAGGTTGCACCATGTTGGCCAGTCTGGTCTCAAACTCTGACCTAAGGTGATCTCCCTGCCTCGGCCTCCCAAGGGGCTGGGATTACAGGCATGAGCCATCGTGCCTGATGGAAATGTCTTTAAATATATAAATTAATTCACAGAAAACTGACATCCATACAAGGTTTAGTATACAAATATTCATTTTGTCTTTCAGGAAATATTAATAGGTGCTTTACAAATGTTATTAATTTTATTCCATATTTTGTTCTTCCCATAGTAAATAAGATTTTATTATTATCTTTTTAACTAATTAACATAAAGAAGTTATTTTTAAAATTTTTCCCACTGGTGTTTATAGGAAATCTACAAAATCTTTTGTTTCTTCATTTTAAATTCTAGTCAGTTTTCTAAGTACTTCATATTTCAGTTGGGTATATTTGGTCTTCTAGGTAAATAATTAGATTTCTTGTCAAATGCCACATTGTCATTTTCTGTTCTATAGCTACTTATTTTATTTTGTTTCATATACCTGATAAAGGAAGTAAAACTTCCCTAATTATTTTTGTTAATTAGATAACAATAATAGTAGACACATTTATGTTCACCCTGACATAAATTGAAAAGACTGAAATGACCTATAGCAAAATATATTAAGCTTAATGACATAATATTTTATTTTACTGAAAAATTTCGTAGAGAAAGTTTAGTAGACTCTATCAAAAGAGTGTCAGGGTTACACATCATGATACTACTTCTTTCCCCTTTAGCTTAGTGTCTTAGTGTTCTTGCTACAACTACTACTCTTTTTTTTTATTAGACTTTACGTTCTAGGGTACATGTGCACAACGGGCAGGTTTGTTATATATGTATACATGTGCAGGTTTGTTACATATGTATACATATGTAACAGGTTTGTTACATATGTATACATATGTAACAGGTTTGTTACATATGTATACATATGTAACAGGTTTGTTACATATGTATACATATGTAACAGGTTTGTTACATATGTATACATATGTAACAGGTTTGTTACATATGTATACATATGTAACAGGTTTGTTACATATGTATACATATGTAACTGGTTTGTTACATATGTATACATATGTAACTGGTTTGTTACATATGTATACATATGTAACTGGTTTGTTACATATGTATACATATGTAACTGGTTTGTTACATATGTATACATATGTAACTGGTTTGTTACATATGCATACATTTGCACATTGTTACATATGTATACATGTGCCATGTATACATGTGTCATGTTGGTGTGTTGCACCCATCAACTCATCATTTACATTAGGTATATCTCCTAATGCTAACCCTACTCCCTCCCCCCACCCCATGACAGGCCCCAGAGTGGGATGTTCCCCACCCTGTGTACATGTGTTCTCATTGTTCAATGCCCACCTATGAGTGAGAACTTGCAGTGTTTGCTTTTCTGTCCTTGCGATAGTTTGCTCAGAATCATGGTTTCCTGCTTCATCCAGGTCCCTATAAAGGATATGAACTCATCCTTCTTTATGGCTGCATAGTATTCCATGGTGTATATGTGCCACATTTTCTCAGTCCAGTCTATCATTGATGGACACTTGGGTTGGTTCCAAGTCTTTGCTATTGTGAATACTGCTGCAACAAACATATGTGTGCATGTGTCTTTATAGTAGCATGATTTATAATCCTTTGGGTATATGCCCAGTAATGGGATGGCTGGATCAAATGGTATTTCTAGTTCTAGATCCTTGAGGAATCACCACACTGTCTTCCACAATGGTTGAACTAGTTTACAGTCCCACCAACAGGGTCAAAGTGTTCCTATTTCTCCACATCCTCTCCAGCACCTGTTGTTTCCTGACTTTTAAATGATTGCCATTCTAACTGGTGTGAGATGGTATCTCATTGTTGTTTTGATTTGCATTTCTCTGATGGCTAGTGATGATGAGCATTTTTTCATGTGTCTGTTGGTTGTATAAATGTCTTCTTTTGAGAAGTGTCTGTTCATATACTTTGCCCACTTTTTAATGGGGTTGTTTGATTTTTTCTTGTAAATTTGTTTAAGTTCTTTGTAGATTCTGGATATTAGCCCTTTGTCAGATGGGTAGATTGCAAAAATTTTATCCCATTCTGTAGGTTGCCTGTTCACTCTGATGGTAGTTTCTTTTGCTGTGCAGAAACTCTTCATTTTAATTAGATCCTAATTGTCAATTTTGGCTTTTGTTGCCATTGCTTTTGGTGTTTTAGTCATGAAGTCCTTGCCCATGCCTATGTCCTGAATGGTATTGCCTAGGTTTTCTTCTAGGGTTTTTATGGTTTAAGTCTAACATTTAAGTCTTTAATCCATCCTGAATTAATTTTTTATAAGGTATAAGGAAGGGGATCCTCCCTAATTCATTTTATGAGGCCAACCTCATCCTGATACCAAAGCCTGACAGAGACACACAAAAAAAGAGAATTTCAGGCCAATATCCCTGATCAACATCGATGCAAAAATCCTCGATAAAATACTGGCAAACCGAATCTAATAGCACATCAAAAAGATCATCCAGCACAATCAGTTGGCTTCATCCCTGGGATGCAAGGCTGGTTCAACATACACAAATCAATAAACATAATCCATCATATAAACAGAACCAAAGACAAAAACCACATGATTATCTCAATAGATGCAGAAAAGGTCTTTGACAAAATTCAACAGCCCTTCATGCTAAAAATTCTCAATAAACTAGGTATTGAGGTGACGTATCTCAAAATAACAAGAGCTATTTATGACGAACCCGCAGCCAATATCATACTGAATGGGCAAAAACTGGAAGCATTCCACTTGAAAATTGGCACAAGATAGGGATGCCCTCTCTCACCATTCCTATTCAACATAGTGTTGGAAGTTCTGGCCAGGGCAATCAGGCAAGAGAAAGAAATAAAGGGTATTCAATTAGAAAAAGAGGAAGTCAAATTGTCCCTGTTTGCAGATGACATGGTTGTATATTTAGAAAACCCCATCGTCTCAGCCCAACATCTCCTTAAGCTGATGAGCAATTTCAGCAAAGTCTCAGGATACAAAATCAATGTGCAAAAATCACAAGCATTCCTATACACCAATAAGAGACAAACAGAGAGCCAAATCATGAGTGAACTCCCATTCACAATTGCTTCAAAGAGAATAAAATACCTAGGAATCCAACTTACAAGGGATGTGAAGGACCTCTTCAAGGAGAACTACAAACCACTGTTCAACAAAATAAAAGAGGACACAAACAAATGGAAGAACATTCCATATTCATGGATAGGAAGCATCAATATTGTGATAATGGCCATACTGCCCAAGGTAATTTATAGATTCAATGCCATCGCCATCAAGCTACCAATGACTTTCTTCACAGAATTGGAAAAAACTAAAGTTCATATGGAACTAAAAAAAGAGCCTGCATTGCCAAGACAATCCTAAGCCAAAAGAACAAAGCTGGAGGCATCTTGCTACCTGACTTCAAACTATACTGCAAGGCTGCAGTAACCAAAACAGTATGGTACTGGTACCAAAACAGAGATATAGACCAATGGAACAGAATAGAGCCCTTGGAAATAATACCGCACATCTACAACCATCTGATCTTTGACAAACTTGACAAAAACAAGAAATGGGGGAAAGGATTCCCCATTTAATAAATGGTGCTGGGAAAACTGACCAGCCATATGTAGAAAACTACTACTCTTTAAACATACAAAGAAGTAGTCATATAGTCAAGGTAAATAAATACACATGCACACACACACACACACACACACACACACAGAGAGAGTTCTGCTTTTATATTGGCCTAATCTTCCTGCCATGCTCTGTCAGAGTTGAAACAGTATGTGTTCCATAACTCTTCAGAGGAACTGAACATTGTTTGAAATTCAATTCTCTAAATTGAATGGTGGCCATAGATTTTTGAAGGGTCCAAGTAAAGTTAATATTTGGAAGTTATTGGATTTTTCTAACTGTTAGATGAAATATTGTAATTTTCTGTGTCTGAAGTAAAAGCAATATTTCACACATTATGATAGGTTATATTTAATTATAATTTACTACAAAATGTTATCTAAGGTTATCAGGAATTTTTCTTGACCTATGCAAATTATCTCTCTGTCTCTCTCTCTCTCACCCTTTCTCTCTCTCTCTCTCTCTCTCTCTCTATATATATATATATATATATATGTATAAAAAAACCAATACTGTAAGTATTATATATAATATATATAAAAAATCAAAACCAAAACTGTATTTTATATATATATATATAATATCTATATCTATATCTATCTGTCTATATCTATTTCTATATCTATAGAGAGAGAGAGAGAAAATTTTCCTGGCTTAGTTCTCCTGTATTTTCAGTCCTTTTATATGTGTTAAGACTACTTTTCTATTAGTATATGGTAAAATTTTGTAATTGTTTTGTGTGTATTTATTCAATTGTTCATTCTATATATGTGTGTGAACACACACACATATATATGCACAATTACACAAAAGGGGGAGAAAAAGGCAGAGAAAGAGAAATATAGAAGAGAGGGAGGGAGGAAGAGAGGGAGAGGAGAAGAGATTGTCACCATAATCCAACAATCAAGTAAACTTTTGTATGTCAATGATCACCGTTTTTGCTTGGTTTTGTTTTGCAGAAACAAGATCTGTATGGCATGTAATTTAGTGAGTTAAACTATCAAATTGTTTTTTAAAATACATGAACACATTTAGTAGTGGGTAAAACCATGCCATGACTATGATTTGTAAGAGATTTCACAAAAGTTAAAGAAAAAACCCTAACAATTAATGACAGAATTTTGGTTTGTACTTGGAACACATGAATTAAAAATAGTATAATATGGAAAAGTCCTTGATACCAGCTGTGCTCCTCAATTTCTGTATTTCAGATTTAAGACCCAAGAAATCTTCTTTTTCCTAAGCTAATTCATATTGAGTTTATCTGATTTGCAACCAAACAGCTTCTTATTCAAGTTGCAATACAGTATGTGAGCATACCTTTGTAATTAAGAGAGCTGTGTAATTTATCACCCAGCTGGGTATTGTGAGAATGAAAGGGCATACTATTAATAATTTGTACTTGAAAATGGGCATGAACCAAGGCTGTTCAGGGAAAACTGGAATGTCTGTTTACTCTATGTGTAGTCAACTTACAATCAGCTTTAATATTTGGCAATGACATATTTTGCCACCAGCTCTAACCCTGAATGTATTAAGCACAGGTATGTACAAGTTGAAGTTGTATAATTTAATAAGACTTGAATCAAATGAACTCACAAATAAAACACTTGTCTTTTCTGCTTTCTATTTCCTCTTCCACCATATTTAAAATTCAACTCAGTGTTATTTCCAGTAAATTCCCCTATTGTTAAAAATCAAAACCAAGACTGCAGCTATAATATTGTTCAAGTACATTCTTGCTTTGTATGGAGGTAGAATACTCTTAAGGTTTGCTTCAATTCTGAGAATGCTTTAACAAATTTTATGGGGTTGGACAATAGTTACTCTGAAATCACAATAATGGAAACTAAATTATGGAATCAATAATGTGATAGCTATATGCATGACATATAATTATATGACAATATATCTTGAAAAATGAAGTAGCATCATAATGGAATCTTAAAAGTTTAGGCCAGGAATGGTGGCTCACATCCATAATCCCAGGACATTGGGAGGCTGAGGCAGGCAGATAACCTGAGGTCAAGAGTTCGAGACCAGCCTGGCCAACATGGCGAAACTTCATCTCTACTAAACATACAAAAATTAGCTAGGCCCGGTGGTGTGCACCTCTAGTCTCAGCTACTCAAGAGGCTGAGACAGGAGAATTGCTTGAGCCCCTGGGAGGTGGAGGTTGCAGTGAGCTGAGATTGCACCACTGAACACCAGCTTGGGCAACAGAACAAGACTCCATCTCAAAAAAAAAAAAAAAGTTTAGGAAATCCTTTCCCCATTTCTTGTTTTTGTCAGGTTTGTCAAAGATCAGATGTTTATAGATGTGTGGTATTATTTCTGAGGGCTCTGTTCTATTCCATTGGTCTATATCTCTGTTTTGGTACCAGTACCATGTTGTTTTGGTTACCGTAGCCTTGTAGTATTGTTCAAAGTCAGTTAGTGTGATGCCTCCAGCTTTGTTCTTTTGGCTTAGGATTGTCTTGGCGATGCAGGCTCTTTTTTGGTTCCATATGAACTTTAAAGAAATTTTTTCCAATTCTGTGAAGAAAGTCATTGGTAGCTTGATAGGGATGGCATTGAATCTATAAATTACCTTGGGCAGTATGGTCATTTTCACAATATAGATGCTTCCTATCCATGAATATGGAATGTTCTTCCATTTGTTTGTGTCCTGTTTTGTTTCGTTGATCAGTGGTTTGTAGTTCTCCTTAAAGAGGTCCTTCACATCCCTTGTAAGTTGAATTCCTAGGTATTTTATTCTCTTTGAAGCAATTGTGAATGGGAGTTCACTCATGATTTGGCTCTCTGTTTGTCTGTTATTGGTGTATAGGAATGCTTGTGATTTTTGCACATTGATTTTGTATCCTGAGTCTTCGCTGAAGTTCCTTATCAGCTTAAAGAGATGTTGGGCTGAGACATTGGGGTTTTCTAAATATACAATATTGTCATCTGCAAACAAGGACAATCTGATTCCCTATTTAATAAATGGTGCTGGGAAAACTGGCTAGCCATATGTAGAAAGCTGAAACTGGATCCCTTCTTTACATCTTATACAAAAATTAATTCAAGATGGATTAAAGACTTAAATGTTAGACCTAAAACCATAAAAACCCTAGAAGAAAACCTAGGCAATACCATTCAGGACATAGGCATGGGCAAGGACTTCATGTCTAAAACACCAACAGCAATGGCAACAAGAGCCAAAATTGACAAATGGGATCTAATTAAAATGAAGAGCTTCTGCACAGCAAAAGAAACTACCATCAGAGTGAACAGGCAACCTACAGAATGGGATAAAATTTTTGCAATCTACCCACCTGACAAAGGGCTAATATCCAGAATCTACAAAGAACTTATACAAATTTACAAGAAAAAATCAAACAACCCCATTAAAAAGTGGGCAAAGTATATGAACAGACACTTATCAAAAGAAGACATTTATACAGCCAGCAGACACATGAATAAATGCTCATCATCACTAGCCATCAGAGAAATGCAAATCAAAACCACAATGAGATACCATCTCACACCAGTTAGAATGGCGATCATTAAAAAGTCAGGAAACAGCAGGTGCTGGAGAGGATGTGGAGAAATAGGAACACTTTGACCCTGTTGGTGGGACTGTAAACTAGTTCAACCATTGTGGAAGACAATGTGGCGATTCCTCAAGGATCTAGAACTAGAAATACCATTTGACCCAGCCATCCCATTGCTGGGCATATACCCAAAGGATTATAAATCATGCTGCTATAAAGACACAGGCACACTTATGTTTATTGCGACACCATTCACGATAGCAAAGACTTGGAATCTCCATCAATGATAGACTGGATTAAGAAAATGTGGTACATATACACCATGGAATACTATGCAGCCATAAAAAGGATGAGTTCATGTCCTTTGTAGGGACATGGATGAAGCTGGAAACCATCATTCTCAGCAAACTATCGCAAGGACAGAAAAGCAAACACCGCATGTCCTCACTCATAGGTGGGCACTGAACAATGAGAACACTTGGACACCGGGTGGAGAACATCACACACCGGGGCCTGTCATGGGGTGGGGGGAAGGGGCAGGGATAGCATTAGGAGATACACCTAATGTAAATGATGAGTTGATGGGTGCAGCACACCAACATGGCACATGTATACATATGTAACAAATCTGCCCGTTGTGCACATGTACCCTAGAACTTAAAGTATAATAAAAAATTATTATATTGTAAAAAGTTATGTATAACCTATTTCATCTCAGGATCACCTTGTTTTTAAACTACACAACAAATACCCAACAATGGGATTTCTGGATTATGTGGTAGTTCTATTTTTAGTTTTTTGAGGACCCTTCATACAGCTTACAGCAAATCGAGGGATCTGGAAGATACTGTATTCAGTAAAATAAGCCAAGGACAGAAACACAAGGATTGTATGTTCTTATTTATATGTGGGAGCTACCATATAAATGAAGCTAGTGAGTAGAATGGGGGTTACGAGAGGCTGGGAAATGGAGCAAGGATGGAAAAAGATTGATCAAAAAATACAATGAGATAAAAGCAATAAGTCTCAATGCATGGTAGCATTGTAGGGAAACTATAGTCAACAAGAATTTATGGTATATTTATTTTAAAAAATATATTTTAGAAGACAAGAGAGAGAAGACTTGAAATGTTCCTAACACAAAGAGAATGATAAATATTTGAGGTGATGGATAACCTGCTTACCCAGGTTTGATCATTACACATTGTATGCATGTACCAAAATTCACATGTACTCCTTTTTTATATGCAAATATTATGCCTCAATAAAAAATAAAATAAAACAACTCTAAGCACATTATTTTTAAAAAAAGCTGCAGGGGAAACAATTCTCACAGATACACATGAATTGTGCCTCGAAAGCTGCACAATCCTGTGGTCTTATTTAAGTCTTCCTAAAAATCCTACATGATGTTACTCTTGTTCCCATTTTACAGATAAGTACAATACAAAGCTTTGATGTAACCTATTCCAAGTAGTTGAGATAGTGAGAGGGGAGGTTGGTTTCAAACTTACACTTGTAAACACATTCATTCACACAACGACTATTTTTTAGAATGGCCTCTGATCAAGGCACTTTACTAAATACTAGGATTATGATTAAGATTTGTTGTTAGAAGTGGTTGTTGAAATATAAATATATATATATTTAATTCTAATATAATATCATATAATATACAAAATAGCACTATATCTATATCACAATTGGATATATGAACATACCTATTACTTATATAATTAATTCATTTTATAGACAC
This sequence comes from Homo sapiens, assembly GCF_000001405.40. Lineage (NCBI taxonomy): Eukaryota > Metazoa > Chordata > Mammalia > Primates > Hominidae > Homo > Homo sapiens. The sequence continues at coordinate 82,900,356 of NC_000003.12, read as the reverse complement.
ACTTCTCTCTATATCTCTAGATAGACTGGTAAAGGTAAATATTTATATAAAAACATATTTAACTGAAATGGTGATATTTGATTCATTCAAAAAGAAATTAGAAACTAATATAAGGAAATTTCCAAATTAGGGTGGCTGTGGGAGAGAGGTTTGCATTCTTTGTCATATGAAAGTTGAGAAGGAACTGTATAGATTAAATGTGTTTGTAATTGTGTATTTGGAGCTGGGAGAGAGTGGATTGGGACACGGAAAATAATGACAGAATTTTCCACGTGGTTGGAGCACAGTGCGAAGTCTGGGATAAAGCTGGCAATACATTCAGAGTTCCAATCAAGATTAACCTGTTTTGGGTTTGTGTTTTGTAATTTGTAGTTTCCCATCCATCACAGCCTACCTATCTAGTTATTGCTTCATTAGTGGTGAGAAGCAATGCATAGATGTGCCAATATGATCTTAAACCAGAGTAAATCCATTTAGATAAAAATTGGACATCATTAAACTTTTTATTTTGATCACCTAAACTCTACATCAAATTCAGAGGTCTGGAATTAGAAATCAAAAGAGTGTTCCTCGTGTATAAGTTAATACACAGCCATTTTTGTTCTCTTCTTCCAAGGAAGATTTTCTCCAGCAAACAGTTTGTTGTTGATATACAAAAGAGATTTTCTTGAGTATATTTAATAATCTGACATAAATAAATTATCTGTACTAAATTCTCAACTTCAATTCAAAATACAAAGATGGTATTTAAGTATTTTGAGTAGGAAGGATATAGAAATAAAAACATGTGAGAGATCTTTTGTATGTTTTTTAAAATTCTGACATTAACTTAATTAATTTTATGTATGCTTTAATATACAATGTTAAATAGTACTAAAAGGAAGAAAAGTCCATCCTGTGAAATAGGCTTGTAATTAAGGGAGCAGAAAATAATGCATGTAAACTTACTTGGTTTGAACTTGAGTTTTAGGACTTGATAATGCCATTATCTGACTGTGAAGTAGAATTTCAAGATTATGTATTTAGTGAGAAAAAATGTCACACTAATTATTGTTTTGCTTAAATAATACACTGAAAAAATTTCTTGAATTTGTAATTTGAACAAATCAATTACTTCTAGGTAATTAATAGTTCAAGGAAATAACTGCTAAATATTTCCACTACAATTTGCCATATTGTTAATTTTTAAATAATTTTTTAATGTATATGGTTTTTTTTCTATAAAAATATGGAAGAACAAAGTCTTTTTGTTTCTTTATAATAATTGTAATGCAGCTTTGGTATTTTTTGAGATAGGGTAATACAAAACCTCAGGTAAATGACATTATCGTTTTCTTCCTCATAAAACTTCACAAAATCAGAATTTATTCCACATTAAAAAATGCAATAAGTTGCCTGAACTAACACGCTTCCTTATCATTCATTTTGGAAAATCTTCCTCTAAAATTTATAAAGGCTTTGTTCTGCTTTTTAAGTATGTATTATTAACTTTTGTATGATCCATGCTTGAAAGCTTGTTAGCCACTATACACACTGACTGCAATTCATTTTTAAATACATTCAATGGCTCATCTCATTTTTCTTTTCTAATACAAATTAGAAACAGATTATTAGCAATTTCCAATTATTGCACTTTGTCGAATCCCTCATTGACTATAATTTATTAAGTTTTTGCTTTAGACTTAGGCAGACAGAGCAGGGCTAGAGAAAATACACCAGTAGTTATTCCTCAGGAAAATTATGAATAAAATATGTTCTATAGATATCCAGTGGCCTGATAGCTTAAATTATTATATAGAAAAGGCTGCTTGAGGTAATTTATTAAATGTAAATTTGGAAAAAACTACTAGGTATGTAATGTATAAATTATACTGTTATAATGTTTTAAAATATTATCAATAATGTATTCAGCATTTTAAAATATATTTTTTCTTGGAGATATATAAATATCCCAATGCTTCCACAAATAGTTCTTATTATTTCTATATAAGGTGAATGATTATATTGTCTATGGTATGCTTACCTGTCTTATTTTTTTTAAATGCCACTTTAAAAAATTGAATTAGGTTCATAATGAGTGCCTGTAACAGTTTTATTGAGTGTCAAGATAGTGGGACCTTAGTAAATATATGCGAAATTGAATTGAATTGAATCGAATCAAATTGAATTATGCATGTTTTAACATTCTACCTTTCATTTTCTAGAGCAAAAATGTTAATAGTATTTTGACAGCCCAAACATTAATTAGTTCAGTTATTCATTCTTCTATTATGGAATATATACTTACAGAATCCCTATTATCTATAGAGAAATCATACAGAAATTTGGGGAATTGTGGAAATATACAGAATAATATTCTTGCTCAAAGGGAACAAATAACTTTAAAAGAGGAAGAAAATACATAAAACATAAAAAGAAAAATGGCAACAAAAAATATGCTTGAAATATTCATTTTCTGCGAACGTATGGGCCATTGAGGATTACAGTTAAAGTAATTTTAATTAAACAGAAAGACATTAGTTAAATCTGTTTTATAAAAATAATTATAGTTGACAAAAGGTAGCTACTAGTCATTCAACATTCAACAAATATTTATCAATTACCTAATGTAAATTTATATTCTCTAGTCTATGTTACCAATTTGTTCGATTAATTCTACTTAAACAGCCAAACACAGTTTAGTGATTCTATTTACTCTACTATTAACAAAGATACTACTTCTTTTTCTCCTTTTAAGTAAATGTTCTTGGTTTAGGTTAATTTGGCTTCTTAATTATTGAAGAGATTGAGGTGACGTTTCTGCAATCTATGGATAACATTAGTCTAACGTTTAAAATTTCTATACTTTTAATTCTTAATCTGCAAAACATAAAATTATTGTTAGAAAATAAACTTAAATTTATGTTAAGTTGGTTTATTATTTCACCTGATTTATTTTCTACCTCTGGACTCAATGTCTGAATATATATGTATATATATAAATGAAGCTAGCAACCTTGCAGATTCTAATATAGTGCTGCAATTTCATTAGTGTAAGAGCATTAAAAATTCTTAGATCATCAACACATTCAGTGAATAACATAATTGGCTAATTTTTAAAGAGTCATTGTCTCCATGGATGATTTAATCTCAAATCTCAAAGTCTCCGTGGAAGTTCCCGGGCATATTGCATAAACTAATCGGTCTCTTGTTAATTTCTCTTGTAAATTTCCTTTCTCATTTTCCTTCCTTATTTTGAGATATTTCCCCTTTGAAAGTATTTAAGGCCACTTAAGATAAATGCTTCCTCTATTCTCTACTCTATCCTCTTACAATTGCTTTTGAACTGCACATACCTAGTCCAGTGTTTGAATCTTAGGTATTCATTCAGGACCCAAGCATGAAATAAATCCAAGAAGAAGAGAAATCAATAGAATCCAAAAAACCTAATGGTTCTAGAGACCCAGACCGAGCCATAGGTCTAAAGGAAAAGCACCCCAAAATATAAAAAAGCACAACTTATCCCAGAATAGAGAAGTGTAGAGATCAAGGACATGAAAGAAGGAGAGGGCAATTGCAAATAATATTGGTTAACATGCAAATAATGTTCAGACTCTTCCAATAAACACTAGTTACCCACTAACCATTTTCTTCCCTTCTTCCATAAAATCATCGTCAGAGTAAGATTTTTAACTTACTGGACAAATCTACCAGAGACTTAATTATTGTGCAATATAATAACTTTAAAATATCTCAATAGTGCTATGATCCAATCACATTTTCTATGGGTTACCAAGCAATAAAAAACTTACTTAAAAACCTGTTGTTGGACTGAACCACTTCTACTTACATGTTCAAACTATTAATTTTTAGTAGGAAAGATTGCCTAGACCACAAAATATGAAATAATATAAAGTGCTTTAAGCCTTTAAAAAGACAGACATTACAAATGTATATTGTTCGTGGCTACAGTTTTCATTAGGTCTTTAATTACAATATGGTTATTAAAGCCTGTAATATAAACCCCTACTTTCAAATATTACACCAAAATTATCAGATAAATAAAATAAGAGAAAAATGTGCTACATGTGTACATGAGAAGAGAAACCCAAATTTGTTTTTGAAAAACATTCTAAGAATTAGAAATCGTGATATTGGAATGAAGAAAAGCAAATGAGTGTTGATCTGCTTGTGATTTGACATAGCCTAAAGAAGGCCCATGTGGGACCAAAGAAAGGATTTGAATGCATGAAAGATTAAAAATATATTTTGTTGGGGGAAGGAGAGAAAGAGACGGAGGACAGAGGGAGAGAGACAAAGAGAGAGTGGAGAGAGGGAGACAGAGAGAGGTCTCCTTAATTTTGAAACACTTCAGAATAAAATTGCTGAAATTGAAACATGCCTAATTACATATGTGCTAGTGACCTGGTGACAATATTTTTCAGATGTCAGTTGCATCTAGACAATACATATATACATACATGACAATGGACCTCATTTATTACACAATCTAACAAGCCTCTATCTTTTTTTTTTTGAGATGATGTTTCACTCTTGTTGTCCAGGCTGGAGTGCAGTGGTGCAATCTAGGCTCACTGCAACCTCTGCCTCCCAGGTTCAAGCTATTCTCCTGCCTCAGCCTCCTGAGTAGCTGGGATTACAGGTGCTCGCCACCACACTCGGCTAATTTTGTATTTTTAGTAGAGACAGGATTTCTCCTTGTTGGTCAGGCTGGTCTCCAACTCCCGACCTCAGGTGATCCACCCACCTCGGCCTCCCAAAGTGCTGGGATACAGGTGTGAGCCACTGCTCCCAGACAGGCCTCTATCTTTAATGCAACACAGAGACCAAAGAAAGTAACTGAGGCAGAGTATCCAGCTACCTTATTTATAAAGCTAAATTTCTTAAACATCAAAACCTACATCTCACTTTCTCAAATTTAGGCAATTCAGAGCCAATAGAAACATTACAGGAAAACAAAATTAACAATAAATGTTTAATATATATTCTCTGTTACCAAGGACACTACAATCAAATTAGGGAGAGCCTCAAGGTGAATGCAGTTACCTCCCAGTGCAAAGGGGAGTCTCTTCACCATGATCCTTCCTGGATAACCTAACTTTCTCCTTCCCTCATTGGTAATTGCAGTCTCAGCAGTTACAAAAATACGAAAATACAGTCCTCGCTCTTCTTTATATTGTACAACTAGATAGATGCATTTACTAAACAATATATCTTAGTTTCATCTCTTTTTCTCTTACAGGAATGAAATTGTTATTTGGCTACTCTTTGGTCATTTGCTTCTTTTGCACAACATTATGTAGTGAAATGTATCTGTGTAGATGAACATGTGACTTATTTATTTTCTATGTAGTACGCATTCTAGTGAGAGAATATGCCACAATTTATTTTCCATTCTTATATAGTTGGACTGTTACTATTTCAATGCTATTACAAACTTTGTTCTGATGGCTATTCTCATATACGTATGTGCCTATGTGAGAATAGTTGTTCTGTTAGATAATCACACACACACACATATGCATACACCAGTCAGGGCCTTTCAGAAGTTGCAGAGGTCATGCATTTTTTTGGGTCCCAGCATATTAAAAATTAAAAAGAAAGGAAGACTTCAGAAACTGGGATGCTTCTCCATTGAGAGAGAAGGCCTAGGTTCCTTCTGCCTAAACCATGGTGGGATGTATAACTTAAGAAATAGTATGTATTGAAAGAAATAGAAGGTGATATAAATTCCACCTGGCTAACTCTCAGGAAACACATTTGGTAACTCTGAGCCTCTGTCTATGCTAAACCTCCAGTGCTGGCTAGATCACAACGGAGACTCTTCGAAAAGGCAGAGATTCCTGGAGAGCCTCAGAGGTTTCAGGCCTGAGCTGTTTCTGTCTTATCATCCCAGTTACAAAATACGTAAATGTAAAAGACTTTGAGATAACTCCAATCTCAGACATTATTATACTGTAACCTCATAATCAACCCTGAGCCAGAATGGCCCAGATGAGACACTCTAATTCTTGACCTGCAATATTATAAAAGAGAATATATAATTACTGTTGTTCTAGGTCACTAAATTTTAGGGTGATGCTCAACAAATACAGATAACTGATAGAGAAATGTCTAATTAGTTTAAAGTTATCTTGAATATTCATTTTTAAACATTATTTTAGATATAACATCATACATTTAATCAAAGTTTAAAACTGATATTTTCATTCTTCTTTCACACAAATCTTATGGCAACTTGATTCCATTTATTTATTTCTGGCATACACACAAACACATACATACTCCTACATATTTATAACTTTAAGCAGCCAAAAATCAGTGCAATTGTTTTAAAATACCAAAGTTAGTTAACATTTATTCATACATTAATGTTTGGTGGGGGACTAATCTTAGCCATTATTGCTTCTATTGTTGCCTATGCTAAATTCTCAACCTGTGTCTCCATATATCTCTGTCTCTTTCTTTCTCTCTGTCTGTCTCTCTGTCTCTCTTAATCTTCGGTACCCATAAAATATATTGTCTAAAACATATACATCTTTCTTCCTCATCTGTTAACTTCTCTTTTATGTATTTCAACTTGTGTGTTTCTCTTTGTTGAATTCTGCATAATGTCTTTTAATATTTATATCAGTTGATTAATTTTCTCTCAACTGTGTCCAAACTATTGATAAAAAAATTCATCATTTCTTTCTTGTATTTTACAATTCTATAAGTTCTATTTGATTCTTTTTGTTTTTATATCTGCTATGACACTTTTCCGAATATTCTGATATCTGTAGGTATTTTCAATGTTTTTAGAAAAATATTTTTAGACTTAATGATCATAGTTGCTTACAGTCTGTCAGATAGTTTTATTATTTGAAATATTCAAGGACCAGTCTGACATCTGTTTTATTTTTTTGTTTACATTTTTGTTTTCTCACTTGTGGTGCCTTCTTTCCCTTGTGCTTAGTTTTGTTATTTTGTGTTCTGTTCATTGTCATGTCCTACTGCTTGTAGGAATTCCCTAAATCCTAGTTTGAAAGTGTAAAGCTGTCTTCTTAAATAAAGAATTTGCATTTGTTTCTGCCAAACACCTGGAGCACTACAAATGCAGAATCAGATTTAAAAATCCATGAGTATGATTTGAGCATTTTGTCAATATTATATAGTGCATATAATTTTTATTTCCATTTCAACTACTTAATGATTTAATAGATAAAAGGTACCTATCAGTATACTTATATCTCTTTTTTTATATATGAATTCTCTAAAGTCAGCCTTCTTATACAATTTTTTATACTTTTGATACAGTTGAGCTTCTTGGCTTTTGCCTCTATGCTATCATGTCCATTTTTTTTTCTAAAGGTATAGATTTTATAGAATAGTTCTGTCACTTCACTAATCAGCACTTTCAAAAAATGTTGGAAATGTTTCCATGTGCATACCACTATATGGAAATTGAAGTAATTTCTTGTATATTAGAATTTAGTTTGATCTGTGTGGTTAATTTTTAAAAGTATGTTCTATCTGTTACTGTTTGGCTCATGTTTTGTCAGTTACAAGCAGCTATTTATCTTTATTAACTATCTTTTCAACAGTCATTAATCTGATTTTGTTCATGATATATTGTTATAAAGAATTATGTTAAATATTTCTTGATGTTGAATTATCCTTATACTGATGGAATTAATTGGACTTGGTCTTTATATTTTTCTTCTCTCTGACATTTCTAGCACTATTACCTAACTCTTTTGTAGAATATTTTGTCTAATTTCTTGATATAAATTTAGTCATTGCTTCATTGTATTTTGTTTTCCTAACATTTTGGTTTCAGTGCATGCTTATATCATGAAAGTCAAATTTTTCCATCTCAGTAACTCTATGCCTTCTCATTCACTTCATTTTATAGAAAATATTGATTGCCTCTTTCTCTTAAAATATATATCATATTTACCTGTCACAGTAAATTTTGCTCATTTATTACACATTTAAACATTTTTCTTCTCTCACTATAGCTTATACTTTCACTTAAATATTGATGTTTAGATTCTTCCACTATAGTATTAATTTCCTGAGGATTAAGTGTATTTTTATTTGTTTTTGAATATGTTTATACTCATTCTTATGTGTAAGTATAACAAAGATTTATTGGGCACTTGAAATGTATTTGACACTCTGTTGAGACTTGTGGATACAGTGATTTAAAAAAACTTTTTCCTTTGCTAATGTTCACAAGACAAAAGTAAGACCCATATCAAACGTTCTATGTTAGAACCATATAAAATGTTATGACCATATAAAAATGACATTGTTATCAAAAGTATTTAACATATTTCCCACTTCAGTATTCTGTTTTATGAATTAACAGAATGTCTTAATGCATATAATAGCTCAATCTAAAACTATTGAAATATATAATTTAAAACTTCCCCCAAATTTTTATTATAAATATAATGATCTACACACATTTAAATAACATTATATAAAGGATCAAAATCAATATTTGTATGTATTTATAGAACCTAAGATGCGTAACTTATTTAATAAAAATAACATAAGCTGAGTTTTTACCATTCAACAGATGCTACATTTGGCAGCGGCATAATAAGGATAAATAATACTGTGTAATTGCCCTCAAATAGTTTGCAATATTGCAAAAGGCAACTGGTAACAGATTTATTTACTTGCAATGATAAATTTCATAAGCCCTGAACTCTACCTGATAAGTACTAAACTTCGCATCTGAGCATTTCCTCTAAAACAGGTAGTAAATGCCTCGTGGTAAATGCAGCTAGATTCATGCATAGCCCAACTTTGTCAATAATTTTGAGTAACAAATAAGTTTCAAGATATATATTCTTAATTATAAAGATATTAGATTCAATTAATTATAAACTGCGTTTTGGGGCATGTGTTTATGTTCTTGTTCACTTATGTGAGCTGCTTAGATTTAATATATTTGATAAAAACATTGGGTTGATTACTCTTCATGGTTGCGATGATTGATTTTGGGTGTCAACTTGATTGGATTAAGGGCTACTCAGATAGCTGGTAAAGCATTAATTACTCTCAATGCTTCGGTTGGCACTGAGCATGTCTCTCTTCTGCTGAAGGGAAAGCCAGGTGGTTCTGGTTTTGATTAAAATAATTGGGCTGCCCCAGGGATGTCTGTGAGGGTGTTTCCAGAGGAGACTGGCTTTTGAGTCAGTGGAATGAGTGGGGAAAATTCACACTCATTGTGGCCAGGCACCTTTCAATCAGTGAGGGCTGGATGGAACAAAAAGGTGGAGAAAGAACAAATTTACTATCTTTGCTGGATTTCTGATACCCCTTTTCTCCTGCCGTTGTACACAGAGCTCCAGGTTCTCTGGCCTTTGTACTCCGGTGCTCACATAAGCAGCGCCTGCTCCTGCCTCTTAGGCATCAGTCTTGGATTGAGAATTACTCCATCAGGTTCCCTGTGTCTGAGGCTTGGACTGAGCGAGACTACCAGATTTCCTTATTTGGCAGGTTAAAGATGGCCTATTGTGGGACTTCTGAGTGTCTGTATTCAAGTGAACCAATTCTCATAATAGATTTACTTTTCATCTCTCTCTATATATATCCTATTGGTTCTCCCTGGAGAAAGCTGACCAAAACAATGGTCCAGTGAGTTTCATTGTCCACGTATTAGATATTTGGGTTAAAAAAGGAATTAATGCTAACAGAGGCAGTATGCAACATGTAATTCTATATGTAGCTAGATTAATAAAACCAGCAAATGAGAGACTAGTGCTGAGGACACCCACGGGAGTATGGGGCATATGGTAGCTGTTGCTCAGGAGAGCTGAGAAAAGGGTTATAGTTCTTAGAAATGAGGCTTTCACTGCCCTGTCCCCCAGATGTCGATGGAAAGATTGACACTATGTCCCAGGTGAGGTGGTCACTTAACTACTCTCACCCTTTTGATCCAAGTGTGGCAGATAATTTTTAAATAGTGGCAAAATATTGAAATTAATATCCTCTCTTTCGTGTTTGGTTTTAGGCACACACACACACACACACACACACACACACACACACATATATATATATACATTTTTCTTTTTTTTTTAAACTGTATTTTACATGTTTTCTGCAGAAGTTGCTGTCTCCTTAAAACATTCTCGGAAAACAAAAACTTTAAGAGATTTTCCTAAGTTTTATAAATCAGAATATAACATTGAGAGGAATAGATTACGTCAAGGTAAAATGAATGGAAGGATAACCATTAGAAGCAGTGAACCAGAGGGAAGAGAAGGCCGAAATTAAATTTATGTTTGGAATATGTTCCAAATGACCATGTTTAGAAATTTTAATGTAATATTATAAAATACTCTCATATATCTCTAAGAATCCTGAGGAAGCTAAAACATCATGATCTCATTTAAAATAACTGCCTCTCCCAATTTTCCCCTAGTGGTCCACAATCTAAGTTTTGATTTTGCAGGCATAATTTTATCAAGCTGATAGACACAGCCTCAAATCCACCTATTTTAGATTAGCCACTAGGCAATTAATTCTTTAATATGTATTTCTTCACTCAGTGAAAATTTTCTTTATCCTCATCAAACATAGTCAGCACATATTCATGTGTCCTAAAGTGTAATATATTCTGCTTTATTGCCGCCAAGATCATGCACATATTTTTCGGTGGTATAGTGTTGGAGAAAATTAAATCTCTCTTAATAAAATTCATTGTATAGTTGTAAGCTTAGTCATGAAGTATCAAGTGATTTTGATCTATATATTTTTAAAATCATAATGTCCCTGGGTTTGTAGCAATTAACCATATGTTAATTAAAACAATAACAACAATTTTTAAATGTTTAAGCAAACATGGTTTCTTAAAGTGACATTTTCAAGGCTGAATAGTCAAAAATGACATGGTCATATTGTTAGTATCAGGAGTAACCAGTGCAAATTTTGAGAAAGCAATATAAAAATATGTATCCAAAGAATAATATTTGTGCTAATTTCTAGTAATTTGTCATTAGGTAATAATGGAACATATCAATAGGTATTTATATATTTGTGAGATTTTTTAGGATTATATATATTAATCTCAAAATATGAGCTTTTAAAATTGTTATAATATATTCATTTAATTTTACATAATTTCTTCAAGTATAATAATATGGTAAGTGGGAAAGTAGGGGAAATAGTCTATAAATATTCATTGATATTTAAACTCAAACTAGAAAGCATGGGTAAAATAGATGTTACTGTGTTATAATTTTTGTAATGTTTTCTTAATTATCAAATATCTTGAATAATAAAATATTGAATTGTGAGCTATTTAAAATATCCCAAATTTTTAATTAAATAAATTTTATATGATGAATATAAAGATGTTACACACTGGATTAATTTGCTAGTACTACAATAACAAGGTACCTCAGAGTGAGTGATTTATACAACAGAAATGTATTGTCTCAAAATTTCACAAGCCAGAGGCCCGAAATCAAGGTATCAGCCATGTTGGTTTCTTCTAAAAACTGTGAGGCAAGAATCTGTTCCAAGACTCTCTTCTTGTCTTGTAGACAGCTTTCTCCACATCTTCACGTTGTCTCTCTTTTCTTTATGTCTGTCTGTGCACTCCAATTTCCCTACTTATAATAACACCAGTCATATTGAATGGGGACCCACTCTAATAACATCATTTTAACTTAACCAATTACATTTGCAATAACCCTATCTCCAAATACGATCACATTTGGAAATACTGGAGTTTAGGACTTTAGCATGTAAGTGTTGGAGGTGCTATGATTTGAGTGTGTTCCCCCAACATTATAGGTTGGAAACTTAATCCCCAATGCAGTGTGTTCCCCCAAAATTATAGGTTGGAAACTTAATCCCCAATGGGAGGTGGGGACTAATCAGAGAGGGTTAGGCCATGAGGGTAGAGTAAATGGATTAATATCATTATCACAGCAGTGGGTTCATTATATAAAAGGGAATTTGCCACCCTTTATTCTTCTTGTCCTCACTTTGCCCTTCCACCTTCCACCACAAGATGACACAGCAAGAAGGCCCTCATCAGCGCTAGTGTCTTCATCTTGGACTTCCCAATCTCCAGACCTGTGATAAATAAATTTATGTCCATTATAAATTGCCCAGTCTCTGTTATTCTATTTTAGCAACACAAAAGTAAACATAGGGAAACACCATGCAACCCACAACACCACTCCCTTTTCCCTTAAAATATATACATCCTTCTCACATGCAAAATGGATTCACCCTATTTCAACATCCTGAAAAGTCATTGCTGATTCTATATCAACTCTAAATCCAATAATCTCATTTAAATATCATCTATTTAAGGTGTGAGTAAGACTCAAGATATGATTCATCCTGAAGCTAAATTTCTTTCCAGCTGAAAATCTGTGAATCCAGACACATTATCTACTTAAAAATACAATCTTAAGACAGGCATTGGATGATGTTCCAATTCCAAAAGGGAGAAATTGAAAGGAAGAAAGGGGTCATGGGCATCAAGCAAATCTAAAACCTAGCAGGACAAATTCTTTTAGATATTAAGACTTTATTTATTTTTTTTTCTTTTTTTTTTTTTTTAATTTTTTTTTTTTTTTATTATACTTTAAGTTTTAGGGTACATGTGCACATTGTGCAGGTTAGTTACATATGTATACATGTGCCATGCTGGTGCGCTGCACCCACTAACGTGTCATCTAGCATTAGGTATATCTCCCAATGCTATCCCTCCCCCCTCCCCCGACCCCACCACAGTCCCCAGAGTGTGATATTCCCCTTCCTGTGTCCATGTGATCTCATTGTTCAATTCCCACCTATGCGTGAGAATATGCGGTGTTTGGTTTTTTGTTCTAGAACAACCCTCTTGGGCCTGATGTTCTGTTCTCCATGCCCAACCAGGTGGTAGCCTCATGTTCTGGGCCCACTAGGGCTACTCAGCCATAGGAAGTAACCTGGCCCCTTGGAATTTAGGAAGATATGGTCCTATCCTTTGAGTCTGTATTCTCCAGGCCTTTGAATGCATTAGCAACCCCTCCCACCCCAGACTCTGAACCATCTTTGGAGTCATCCTTTTCTTTTCTGGAAGGATAACATGTGCTTGTGACCGAATAGCCATGTATGCCTATTTCCCGCCTGTAGATTTTCAGAAATCTGACAGCCCTTCTTCATGTCCTCCCCTCTCTGTCCATCCTTTTCAGTCCCAAACTTCAGCATTTCTACTTAGATGGTCGATTATGCATGCTCACACAACAAATCCCTTTAGCAAAATGTTGTCCAGCCATACCTTTGGTATTATCTCTAAAGCATAACTTTACTTTTTGCAAGATAATAGGCTGAGAATGGTTAACTCTTCAAGTTCTTGTTACTTTTTGCTTAAAAATTCTTTCTTCACTGCATCCCTTTTCAGGAATTCAGCTATAATAAACAAGAAGAAACCAGGCTTTGCATTCAACCCTTTTATTAAAATATACTTCAGCTAAACATCCAGGTTCGTCCCTTACATACTTTTCAACCAACAGAATATAGTTCAACAAAGTTGTCATTTTATAATAGGGATGACCCTTTTGCCAAGATTCAAAAACATATTCCTGGACTGGCACAGTGGCTCACGCCTGTGATCCCAGCCCTTTGGGAGGCCGAGGTGGGCGGATCACAAGGTCAGGAGTTCGAGACTAGCCTGGGCAACATAGTGAAACCCTGTCTCTACTAAAAATACAAAAACTTAGCTGGGTGTGGTGGCGCATGCCTGTAATCCCAGCTACTCAGGAAGCTGAGGCAGGAGAATCGCTTGAACCCGGGAGGCGGAGGTTGCAGTGAGCCAAGATCGTGCCATTGCACTCCAGCCCGGGCGACAATGCGATACTCCGTCTCAAAAAAAAAAAAAAAAAACCATATTCCTCATTTTGCTCATTTTGATATGTTACTCTGGCCTACTTCCTGAGTTACCCAAAAAGCTGCTAGTATTGCGTGAGACCCAGCACAAAAGAAGATTCTGCAATAGATCTTGGCTTTCATAAATACTGCTCTGCCACTTTGGCAATATGGTCCAGTAGATCAACGGATTCTTGAAATTTTAATGGCAGACAGAGATGCTGTTTGGAGTTTTTGGCAGGCAGCTATAAGTGAACCACAGGTATTCCCTTAGAATATTGAAGCATATCCCTGCTTTCCTGTGCAGAAAACTCTTTCGCTTTTGAGAAGAGCTTTTTCCTCACTACTATGATTTAGTAGAGTCTGAACCCTTAACCATGGACCATCAAGTTATCATGTGAGCTGAGCTGCCCATTATTAACTGTGTGTTGTCTGACCCAAAAAGCCACTAAGTTGGGTGTGCACAGCAGCACTCTATCATTGAATGTAAAAGATAAATATGAGATCAGGTTTGAGCAGGCCCCGAAGGCACAAGCAAGTTACATGAAGTAGTCCAAATGTGTATGGCTCTCACTCCTGCTACACTGATGTTTTTCTCCTAGCCTGTCCCTGCAACATTAAGGGAAGTTCCCTACTATCAGTTGACAGAGGAAGATAAACTCACGCCTAGTTCACAGAAGGTTCTGTGCAAAATGTAGGTACTACAAGAAAGGGCAAGTTGTAGAATTGGGTGTTTTTCTGCACAACCCTAAAAATTGGTAAATGTATTTGGTTGTTTATTTTGCTTGGAAAGAAAAATAGCCACATATGTGATTATATAGCAGTACAAGGGCTGTGGCCAATGGTTTACCGAAAGACCAGGAATTTGTAAGGAAAATAGTTTGAAAATCAATGAAAACAAAAACAAACAAAACAAAAAAGGTCCTGGGAAGATGTATGTGTCAAATGGCTTTTTTTTTTTTTTTTTTTTTTTTTTTTTTGAGATGGAGTTTCACTCTTGTTGCCCAGGCTGGAGTGAAATGGCACAATCTCAGCTCACTGCAACCTCCGCCTCCTGGGTTCAAGTGATTCTCTTGCCTCAGCCTGCTGAGAGCTGGGATTACAGGCACCTGCCTCCACGCCCGGCTAATTTTTGTGTTTTTAGTACAGACAGGGTTTC
Source organism: Homo sapiens (assembly GCF_000001405.40). Taxonomy (NCBI): domain Eukaryota; kingdom Metazoa; phylum Chordata; class Mammalia; order Primates; family Hominidae; genus Homo; species Homo sapiens. The sequence continues at coordinate 82,885,328 of NC_000003.12, read as the reverse complement.
ATCATGTTGGCCAGGCTGGTCACAAACTCCTGACCTCAGGTGATCCGCCTCCCTCGGCCTCCCAAAGTGCTGGAATTGCAGGTGGAGCCACTGCACCCAGCCTCAAATGGCCTTTTGAAGACTAAGTTACCACACAAGGTAGGTGGCAGTAACTTTCAGGGATGAAACAGTTATCTATCATTTATCTATACTCTAAATAAGTATTCAGTGTGTGGTGCTGTTTCTCCCATAGCCGGAACTTATGGTCCAAGAATCAAGTACTGGAAATGGGAGTTGTAACACTTGCTATTACCTCTAGAGATCCTATAGCAAAAGTCTTGCTTTCTGTTCCTACAAAGTATTTCTCCTTTTAGAATGAAGTCCTCTAGGCCAGCAGAGGACTGGCCTAGAAACATAGTTCTAAAAGAAGAAATACTTTCATCAAAAGATGCAACAATTATTACATTGAATTAGAAGTTAAGATTGCTGCTAGCCACTTTGGGATCCTCATTAAAAAAAACATAAGGAGGTGCTGTACTAGTTGTAGTACCAAGGGGAAGTGAATTGCTGGTTCACAATGAAGATAAGGAAGAGTATGTCTGAATACAGGAGATCCCTAATAGTATCTCTGGGTACTATGAAGCCCCATGATTAAAATTAATGGAAAACTGTAACAGTCCAAGATACGACAACTAATAGCACAGATTCTTCAAGAGTGAAGGTTTGGGTCACCCCATCAGGTAAAAAGTCATGACCAGCCAAGGTGCTTGCTGAAGGCAAAAGGATTACAAAATGGGTAGTAGAAGAAGGTAGTTATACATACTAGCTATGACCACATGACCCATCACAGAAACAAGGACTGCAATAGTCATGAGTATTTTCTCCAAATTTTGTTATGAATATGTATGTGTATATATAGGCATATATTAAGCAAATGTATCTGGTTTCATTCATCTCTTATTTTTTGTCATGTAATATGAGAAATATTGGCATTATGTTAGTATTTAAGTATTGTTAATTTTACATCATGGTATTTAAGTTGTAAGATATCAGAAGAAGTGTAAACCTCACAATTCTATGATTAGGAGGAGAGAGGGAAGAAATCAAAGATGTTTTCTTTCTATATACATTCATCTTCACACTAGATTGCTGTTTGACCATATATTGGGGTCCATAGTCTAACAAAGTTGACGTATAAAATTAACAAATATAATCTACACAAGTCTGAAGTCTTCCCGGTAGGTGACAGGCTGGAAATTCTGTCAGGAGTTAATGTTGCAGTCTTGAGTTGAAGGCTTTCAGGAAGGGATTAGTGTGTTTTCAATCACTCTGCCAGATAAAGAACCAGGAGCAGCTAAGGTACTTGCTGAGGGCAAAGAGAATATAGAATGTGTACTGGAAGAAGATAAAGAAGGTAGCTACAAATACCAGCTATGGCCACAATGACCAGTTGCAGAAACAAGGACTATGATTGTTATTAGCATTTCTTCCTTATGATGGATGTTTTAACCAAGAACTTTGCATCTTCTTTTGGGAAATGGGATAGTGTGTTTTAAGTTGTACACAGGATAATTGTATCATGTTAGGCTGAGGATAACCTTGTCCTTAATTGTCTTTACTTTGAGATGAAATATGGTTTAAGGAGATACGTATGGGTACCAAGTTCACAAAGGGTACACTGTGTTGGTTAATTTTATGTGTCAACTTTGTTAGACCTTGGTCCCCAGTTTCTGGTCAAACGGCAATCTAGGTTTTGCTGTGGAGATAATTTTTAGATGTGATTCATATTTAATCATATAATATGAGTGAGCTTCATCCAAACAATTGAGGCCTTAAGAGAAAAGACACTTCCCTCAAGAGGGAAATAATTTTGTCTCTACACTTCAACAGAGAAATTCTACATGGACTTCTCGGCCTTCAACTCAAGACTACAACATCAACTCTTGCCAGAATGTCCAGCCTACCACCTATTGGGAAGATTTCAGACCTTCTAGTCCTCACAATCACATGAGCCAACAAATCTCCTAACATAAGTCTCTCTCTGTCTCTCTCTCTCTCTCTCTCTCTCCCCACCCCGCCAACACTCCTGACACCCAACCACAAATACATGTGTATATCCTGTTTCTCTGTTCTGTTTCTCTTAAAAACTCATAACTAATGCAGTTATCATATTTTAAACATCATCTTATTCCATATACACAAATGTCCAAAAATTCATTTTCTATCTCTCATATCCCAAATTAACAGCATATAAAAAATCAGTTTTTTTTTTTACATTTTAGAAGTTATGAGTATAGTGTTACTTATTTGGTCGATAAAGTTGAAAGAATCAAGTTAAATAGAAAGTAAGATGAAAAGAAACCAGCATCTAGTATGTAAGTAAAAAGAGCCAAAGAGTTATTCATGAAGTAGACATGCAACAATATTCCTGGTTGTTGACAAGCAGCAAACCTAAAAGGAACCCTTTGCTATTGGTTTTACTGGTTGTACTCAGCAAAATTTCCCTTGATACATCTGAGAGTGAGATCAAAATCAGATTTAAAAATCAGAAGGATGTTAATTTACAATGTAGCTGATTTTCTGCTTTATGAAAAGTAACACATCATGTAACAGACATTTTCTTTAATATATTTTTTCTTTTTCTTTGATAATACCACTTGCACAAAAATGACAAAAAAATACATTTTCTTAGTATGCCAAAAGTAAAATTAAGACATAAAATGATTTCTTCAAAGTAAAGATTCTACAATTAAGATAAGATGTCTCCTCATGTTTTGCAAACAAGTCACAATAAAATTATATTTAAGGTATTTTACTTCTGAAAATAGTTACTTCAAACTGGGGTCCAATTAGGTATTCTCAAGTTTCAAGGAAATTCTTTTCTTTTTAAGTGTAGTCTAAAATAAACATTTATTTGCTCAATTATGTAGGATACTATATTAAAATCAAATGCTTCTATAAAATGTAGATTCCCAAAAATGTTTTCTGAGTTACTATTTTATTCATGCAGCCACTACTCTAAATTGACATCCATTAACATTCAACAAGCTGGTAAGCATGCCCAACAGCGTTTAGGAAGTCATATCCTTTGTCAGAAGGACAACCATAGGTCATCTGCCACTAGGCTTCTGGTGAATGCTTTTGTGAGTTATAAAGAAATTCTCCTCTTGCGCAGTGATTACTTTCACTTAAGAGATATTTCAGTAGAAGACACAATTTTCTTAATTTGTTTTTAATTGACAATTTGATTTGACCTCAGGAAAATTATATGTTGAGAAGAATTAGGATGAAATAATAAGTGGATTTAGAGAATAAATCACTTTGTTTGTTTGTTTATTTATTTATTTATTTATTTATTTTTGAGATGGAGTCTTGCTCTATCACCCAGTCTGGAGTGTAGTGGTATAATCTCAGTTCACTGCAACCTTCAGCTCTCAGGTTCCAATTATTCTCCTGCCTCAGCCTCCTCAGTAGCTGGGATTACAGGCACCTGAGACCACACCCAGCTAATTTTTGTATTTTTAGTAGAGAAGGGGTTTCATCATGTCGGCCAGGCTGGTCTCAAACTCCTGACCTCAAGTGATCTGCCCGCCTCGGCCTCCCAAATTGCTGGGATTACAGGCGTGAGCCACTGTGCCAGGCCATAAATCATGTATTTTAAGGGTCAAATAATTTTTTGGGATGTTGATAAAAATCATACTGTTGATTGCACAAGTTATGTGAGTCCATGTAGTAGTCAGTCCTATATTTGCACTGCAAATACATGAATTATTTACTAATGTCAGCTATCAGTGTGTATAAATATACTAGGCAGCAATGTCTTTAATGTTCATTGTTTCCCTCACCCATTGAACTATAAGTCTCATGAGATAATGGGACTTCTCAATTTGGTTCTTTCAAGAAGAAATAATGATGTTGAATGTTTTTCAAGAAGAAATAATGATGTCAATATACAGAAGGCATTAATTAGGTTATATTGTTAAATTATAAATGAATCTGTCTTTAAATCTATTTCAAAATTGTCATGATACTTCCTAACATTTATGTCATTATGCCATTGTAAATATATAATGAAGAAAATTGGAATATCTATATTATACTTAAATGCAAATATATACATAATTTTTTTATAATTTGGCATACTAGTTGCAAAATAGATCAAGATTTATAATATATGTTTTAAGGTGGGAAAGTAATAGTAACCTAAAAAAATAGAGACCCAAGAGATGGTTTCTCATGATAGTTAAAAACATAAAAACTAATTAAAAATAAAAGTGTAAATGCATATATTTATTATTATGAAATAATGATTTAGACAGGTGATTCCATTAATAGTCATATAAAATTTTAATGATAAAATTCATTAACATTTAATTATTTGTGGTCAAAAATTTCTATCAATTTTATGATCTCTTTATTATATAAGAGATATAAGCCTAAATAGGATATAATGATTATAGTTTTTTTCACATTTAAGTAATGTCAGAATGAAAACAATTTAAATCCACAATGATATTAATATTTTTAAATGGTAAATTATCTTCTATATAGAAAAGTGGAAATTTCCTGACTTTTCTCTTGAAATTGCACAACTAACATAATTACTTTTCATATAAAATAAAGTTTATCACAAGTTTTAATAAAATTACTCTAAAACTGAATTATTATATAAATGAATTTTACATTTTCCTCATTGGCATATTTAAATTACCAAGTGAATCTTTATTTAGAAGAATAAACTAGCCATAGTTGCCTGGTATTTTTTCTTACCCATTTCCATTTGATGTACTCAACAGCATGGTTATGTGTAAAGCTGGAGAAGGCTAGCAACTGCACCTACAACAGGGTATCATGTTCATTACAAAAACAAGTTTCAGAACAATTTTTGCAAATCATGCATGTATTTTTAAAAATCTTATTTCCAAGGAAGGTACACAACAGCTCATACAATATAGTTTGTGTGCTTCTTGAAGCCCCCAATATCTCACCTTTTAAGTGCTCTAAATACATCTGGCATGAAAGGGTTTCCCAAGGAAAAAGCGCTGATAGAGCAGACACAAGGGACTATTGATCCCATAGATATCGCTAAGAAACAAGAAGTACTTCAAGTGAAAGGCCATACTGAACACAAGACCATTGAGGAAGTAAAGCTTGCTGAGCCACGGTGGTAGCCAAAAGTAACAAAAATTAAATCATAATTAGAATGTAAAACTTGGACGCCATTCTGAAAGATAAAGGTTATCGGCTTGGCTAGATTCTTATTTCACATTTGTAAAAATTTGTATCACCTCAAAAACTTTCTGGCCAACCAATCCACATATTATGAAAACTCTTCATTTCAACAATGATTAGTCATTTATAATATTGATAATAATAATCCATTAATTTTAATTATACCAATACTCACACATTACATTCACTAAGCTAATTAACAAATCATCTCATGTTAATCAAAATTAAAGAAAGCTGAAATGCTTGTAGTACTAACTGCTAAACTGTGGCCTTCCTCATAAATTCTAGATGACATTCTCCAATGCTCAAATACTGCTTCTTGAGAAAGCTGATTGCACAAGGATATAATTTCAAGTAACATATGCATACACAAAATATTACACTGTATGAATTATGGGGTTTTACAGTAAATTATTACCATAAAAACACAAATGAAACCCATATTATTTTGAATAATAATGTAAGAGTAGGTGATATTGGGGAAGAAAAGTATTGAAAGGGGTACATTGTACCTTTATGAAATGGAACATGACAACAAAATACTTGACAAGACAATCTAAAATAGATTTTAAAAGATTATTTAAAACATCAATTATTAGTATTATTTATTATTTGTTATATTATTAATATAAATACATATTTATATTCCCTAAGCTAAAATTTGATAGCTAGCTATAAAATACATTTTTATAACTCTATGATCCAATCCCTTTATTACTTAGTTTTGATAGACCCTTTTTTTGTATGGCAGTAAGGAAATCAGCTATTTTGAGAAGATAGTACAACCTTCCACCTGCTACATTTCCTTATATATTGTTTTCTATAAAGTTAAATCTTACCTTCTAAGGGTGAGGATAGCTTAATCCTGAGAAAGTGATCACCTTCAAACTATTTTTCAAAGTTTAAAGAGTGACATGTTTCAAATCAATGGTTCTCTAAATATGGGTGCCCTTTTGTCTACAGTCCCAAGGCTGCAGTTTGTAGTATTTGAAGTTATTTTGCTGAAAGCAAGGTCCTTATTAATAACGTCCACTGTATCTGTTGTTCTATTTTTGGTTTGTTATTTGATTCTCCATCATGAAAATGAACATTATATCTATAGATAAAATACATTTCTAAACAATTTGTGTAAATGTCTATTCAGTAAAGATTTAATAATTCCTTTAGGGGAGCTGAAAATGTATGGAATATTTCAATGGAGGAAAAAATTTCTGGAAATTAACCTATGTATTTATAGATTATTGTATAAAACTTTCAAAAAATAGAAGAGATATCTAAAATGATTAAATATATTTCTTACAAAATCACTATAAGACAAGCTTTATACGTTTATAGCTAATAATTATAAGATGACTAGAATCTACTAGCACATTAACACACATTCATATTACTTAACTTTAATGAAACAGTAGAGATGGAATTTGATTTTTAGCTAGAGTTTTTACAGCTACGGAAGCTATTATAGATACGTATTAATAAATCCTAAAATATGGACAACAATATTACCAAATTGCTTTGTGGTAGCCAAGATCACAGTGTTATTTGTGAACCTGTGCATGCTTTCTAATAATAAATGTAGGGTTTATTCTTTAAAAATGTTACATTGTGTAAATATTTTTATCTTAAGTTCTACAACTACTAGGTTCAACTATACTTTTTACTGCATATGTCTATAATAGAGTTCTGGGCATCCATTTAACTGTGACAAGCTTAAGAGTATTTTGGAAAAATGTTATGGCCTATCTCTTTCTATATCTATGATATATTTATTCATCTATTTATTGATGATCTATCCTTGGTTATTATTTATGGCTAGAATTTTAAGTATACAAAGGAGTAGAGTCAAATTAAACTAAATTACTTCTGATCTTTCTTTGAAAACTAAGACATTAAGAATATTAGCTATGGCTATTAGATTCTTTATTTAACAGTAGTTAAATTAGTCAGTTTAGCATACTTAAAAAAACATCTATAAAATTCAATATTCATATCATTATTTGAAAGCATTTTTGTAAAATTAAAATAGTAATATTTAAATGTTTATTTAAATATTATTTGATATTAAGATGACAATGTGAGAATATTCTGATAGTGCTTTGGAATTCTCTTGGGAGATTTCAGTGTATACTGGTTTATATTAGCCTAATCTTTTAGTACATTACTTTCGTCATATTCATATCCAATACTGCCTGAGGATTGGAAAAAAATCTCTAGATGACAGTTTTTTTTTTTAATTACAAGTAACCAATTGGTAATATAATCTCCATTTACATTCCTTGAGCCTTGAGATGGAGAAATTAAAACCTCCTGAGAGTAATTCAGTTAGCTACATTTCTAAAAAAAAAAAAAAAAAAGGCATACCTTTTCTGGGACTATGTAAAGTTTTACCCTTTTGATATATATTTTCCAAAAATAGTAGGTTGAGAGTTTTTTTAAGATAAAGAAATTATATAAAAAAGGAAGGAAGGAATGACAGAGGAAGGAAGGGCCTCCAATCAAGCTTCTCCTTATTAAAAGATATTCATTTGCTCACACAACATGTATTAATGATTTATTGTGGATTTAATTCATGAGAATTAAAGAATACAAAAACCATTTTATTAGTGAAGTGGAGTATGTGTTACCACACTGTATTATCTATAAATAATAAATTTTACAGAAAATGATAATACCTTAAAGGTATTTTTATAAAAAGCAATTTTCAATAATAAATGTGAAATTCATTCATCTAATGTAAGTTATTTTACATGGGCACGTGAGACATTTTATCAATATACTCAACATTAAGTTACCTACTTTACAAATACAAATAAACATCCTTTCAGATCATATTATCAGGACCATTTTGCAGATAAGCAAAACCTTTAGCCATTTATTCAGTCATTTGGGGGCCGTAGGCAATTAAGTAGTTTACCCACAAAGGTTGAGAGCTAGCATTGCTCTGCCTCTTTACTAGGCCAGACACTAAATGTCTAAAATGTTGGTCCCCATCCCGAACACTTTGGTTTGGATTTGCCCACTGAAGTTGTTTTCAACAAGAACATTTAGTTACTCACATGTTGATTACTCAACTGACAAAGTCAGATATATTTTTTCAGTTTATAAATTACTTGATCTCATTGAATTTTGATACTGTTGACCACTTTCTCTCCCTTAAGGGAAAATAACCCCTCTGATTTTTCTGACACACCTTCTTGCTTTTTAAACTGATGTTTCTGCTTAGTCTTTTTGGTGAACTACATTCTTTAATGTCAAATGCTTAAGTGCTCAGCATTCCTTACTGTTCTCTTCTCAGTTCTAGCACTTGTTCAGCTATGCAATACTCTAAGCTGGACTTCAATTAATGTTCGTATTATAATAATCCCTACTTATTTATAGTTATTCTGGATTATCTCACTGGATGCACATGAATCTGTCTTTTCTCTACATATTTAATAGATGGTGAAAAGTAAACTTGATTTCATATCCAAAATTGAATATAACAATTTGTTCAGCTAATTATAAAGCCTCCTCTAACATGCTGAATTATATACTATCTACCAAAGCCTAATCTAGAAAACTACTAATATGTCAAAATATTTACATGAAAGTTGAGATAATGTTATTGCATGCATCTTTATTATGGCCGTTGTCATCCAGAAATTCTGAAACATCCCTATAACAGTTGCATAAATCTCAACCATTCATTGTTATATTTATCTCTATATTTGGTATTATATACACCCTATAAAGAATTCAAATGAAACTAAAAGTTAATGGAATTTTAAATTGAGAAATTTAAAATTTAGAGACTAAAAAACTGAGTTTGTAATATTACATTTGAAAAATAAGAATACATATATTGCTATTTTATATAAGTAAAACTATTCTATAGAACAGAATTCAGTAGTGATGGGTGAAAATCCATTCAAATTTTCTTGACCTTTGTACACTTTCACTTTCTACTTAAATTATAGTGAATTAAGAAATATGTCAAGTTGACATAATAGTCAGTTATTTATGAATGTGAATCTACTGTAAAAAGCCACTTTTCTGCCCCTGCACAGTCATATTTATTTGACGTGCTTGTTATTGCTGTTGTGAGAATTGCATTTCTTCAAAGAGTATCAAATACACAAAGTTTCAGTATAAATCTAGTTGTATATTTTTAAACCTAATTTAATTCAAATGGGTGGAAAAAGCAATCCCTGAAAAATAAATGCTTCTGAAATCATCCCTATAAACATTATATAATTAATCATGGAAGATGGGAGGGAAGAGGGGAACAAAAATAAACCAAGCTTGCAGCATACTCAGCATTAATCTTTAGGGCTGTTTGCTCTCTGATCCACTTTCTTATAGTTTTTTGCTGCCTACTACCCGAGAGTCATGTAAACTCTGTCTAAAGGTTATGATTCCCCTAATCTCCTCTATAGATAACTTCACACTGTGAAATGTTCTTGTCTATATAAGATATTCTTTAGCCATGAAACTACTGATACCAGCTGGTCTGAAGGACCCCATGAGGAGCTGACTCACCACAGAATGCATTTTCCACATACTGATAATTACATCCCTCTGACACCAACCAATCAATAACTCCAATTTTCTATCCCCTCACACTCCATGACCTCCTTGAAAATCCCAGCCAGGAACTCCTTGAGGAGAAAGATTTGAAGGTCTTGTTCCATCTTGACACTGGGCCACCCTGCAATCTATAACTCTTTCTCTGCTACAAACCCTTCTGTCTCAGTGTATTGGTCTGTTACTATGCAGTAGGCATTTGCACGTGTTGGTCCTGTAACATTTCCTCATGGCTTTGGGCAGTTGATAAAAGGAAACTCTGCATATCTCAAATAAATGGACACAGAGAAAGAAACAAATTTAAAAATAATCAGTCAAGGTATGAGGATGGGTTATATAAATTGCTGTTTAGAGAAGGCTATGTGTAGATATTAAATTATTAGGTTTGGGAAAAGTTAAAAGTCATAGTTTGATGTCTGTTTATCCTGGGTGCCTCACATATTTTCTCATAGCCACTGCTTTAAGATAGCAGATTAGATGAAACTCATTACTATTCAACAAACTATTCAAGCTGTAAAACTAGCAGTGATTTTTGATACCTCACTTTTTCTAACCCTCCTTATCCAACCCATCAACAAGTTTTATTCACTGTACCTTCAAAGTAAACACAAAGGTGCTCACTTCTCATCAGCTTCACTACTTCCTTGGCAGGAGAGATGATTCTAAAGAATAAAGGACAAAGAAGGGACCTCTTTTACTATGGACTAAGTATGACACCTGAATTAAAATTCAAATTGTTAATCTATAAGACCACACTTGATATGGCCCTGCTCCATCTCTGAGAGCTCACCTCCTCTCATGTGTTTTATTGCTGACTTGCTCACAAAATCTGCAGGCCAGGAGTCTCAGCATGACTTAGCTGGGTAATTTGCTTAACTCTCACAAAGTGGCAATCAAGGTGTCAGCCAGACTGCATTTTTATTTAGAGGTGACAGTTCGTGAGTTTTATAATATAGGCAGGCCGGTGGCAAGGAGCTGTGGGCAATTTGTAAAATCCAAAAATGTTTCTAATCATGAACCGGCAAGGAGTTTAATTCTGCTAACAACCTGAATGGACTTGCAAGCAAATTCTTCCAAATTTGAGCCCCCAGATAGTAATGTAGTCTGGCCAACATCTTGATGGTAGCCTTGTGAGACCTTGAGTAAATGACTGAACTAAGAAGTCTCCAGAATCCTTACTCAAGAAATGTGAAATAATAAATTTGTTGTTTTAAGCTGCCAACTTAGTGGTAATTTATTATAAAGCAAGAGAAGACCACCACAGACTTAAACTACTTCTGTTTCTTTTTTGTACTTTAATTCTTTACTTCTTTCATTACTTCATTCATTTTTTTCTTCTTTCAAAAAAATGATGTTAAGCATTGTCTGTGTTCCAGCCAGTGATTTAGGTCCTAGAGGTCCTCATATTTCAGCCAGACATTGACATTTTTTAACAAACTCAGGCTTAATAATATATTTATATTTCAACTAATTTTAGAAATAGTTTAAGAAAAGTAACCATGGGAATGCATATTTAAAATGTGAGTGAAATAACTACAAAGAAAATAATAAATATATGAGGAATATTACTAAGAAGTATTATTCAGTATCTCTTATAGTCAGTAAGAGAGATTTCTTGAATAATTAGTATTGGTTTGAAAATTCTACAGTGATGTGAAATTTAGGCTTCCAAGACTTTGGACAGTTATCTCTTTACTCCTCTACAGTGATCTACTGGAAGCTTAAGGGTTTAACTAGTGTTTGTTTTCTGGTTTGATACTTAATTGGAAGCATTTTGATTTAATAAGTTTTTAAAACTTTTCATAATTTTAGCCTTAAAACAAGCATAAGATTTTTTGTTTTGGTCAACTGTTAATCAAAAACCCTCTTACTGAGTTTTATTTAAGTCAAAACAAATGATTCCATTAGTCAATTGTGAATCAAAGCCCCTCTTACCAAGTTTTATTTAAGTCAAAACAAATGATTCCTTTTAGGAATATTTTAATTCTTGTGTTATTATAAACTGAGCTTAAAATATGCTAAGCATATATAACTCATTCTAAGAAGCAGCATGAAATACTAAAAAGAATAAGGGCCCCACTACTAAATTATTTGCACTCTTTCCCAGTATCTGTCACCTATTAGCACGGAAATTTTTGGCAAGTATTTTAATTTACTACAGCCTTGATTGCTTCATGATGAAAGATATTAAATATAACAGATGCCAATAAAATTACTATTAGCTTGTATATAAATGCAAAATATAAGTAGTAAAATGCTGAACTAACTATATTACCTATAAATTAGAATTTTCTTCAAATATGCCTTCTAAATGCCACCAGATTAGTCATCTCCATAAAAGAGACTTAGCTTGAGTCTTACTTTGGCTACTTAAGAAATGCCAATAGTGATGAAATTAAGAAATGCTTGAAGCCTGGTGAACAGTATACATCACAGAATATAGAAAAAAAGGAAGAGACTTTTTTTTATTAATCACTCACCATGGAATTCTGGGCTGACAATGAGATTAGGCTATTCATATATGAAGAGTGAATTCTTGAGAAATAATAGGCCAAGGACTTGGGATTTGGTAGGGTTACTAGAAAAACAGATATGGCAATCCTCAAAGCTGCTAGCAATTTCAGTTGATTTTTCTGGTTGAAAAGCTCTAGCCGATGACCACAAATCAATTACAGTTAACTTATTTTTCCCCACGGTTCAAAGATTGGACTTGAACAGCAAGGGGCTTGTTTCTATGAACAGAGGGTATCACGAATAACTGAGAAAGTTATTCTCTCTGTAGGGAGCATTGGCAAATTGAAATAGTGCAGAAAAAAAAAATGCTTTAAAAAACTTGGGGAAAATTCTAGACAGTTTATTTAAACAAATATCCAATTATTTATCTGAAAATGTTTAGATTCAATCTCAGTAAAAAAAAATCAATCTCAATATTTATCTCTTTCTATATTTTTACACCTAAATTTATTACATGTAATAAAGCCAGATTATTTAAACTGTCATCACTGTAAGAAAATAGCTCATTTCCCAATATATTACTAAAATTAAATAGTCACAGTACATTTAGAATTTTAAGAGTACACAGAGTATTTGATAGTGCTGTGTGTACTTTTAAGTACAGAGTAAGTTATTAGCAAAATGTCATAAAGTGAAATACACAAAAATCAAAAACACACAAAGTTTTTAGCAGAATGTCATAAAGTAAAATAATTGGAATTCATTTGATTTATTCCCATATTATTAGATGGTTTTCTAAAAAGGAAATATTCTGAATTCTGTTGAGATAGAAATTTAAATTGCTTACATTTATGTAGTACAGTTGGATGCAAATGGGGAGGAAGAGGAGATTTAAAATAGAGAGTTTATGTTGAATAAACACTCTTCCTGTTATTTAAATTTTGGCTTTGAGATGTGATGGTCATTTTACATTTCCCAGTCTCCACTGTTTTTGAGATAAAAATGCTGACAATTATTGTCCAATAAAATTACAACACAACAATGAAGTAATGGCAACGTAAGGTGATTGGTAACCGAAAAGCGTACTTTAAATACTAATCTCAAAATAGTTTATATGTTTTGTAAGCATTTATATAGGGTTGTATATATATCCCTTTAAGTTTTCTGAGTATGAGTAATTATAATTCTGTGTTTGAAGTATTTTTCTTCTTTAACATGTAATTTTATGATCATTTCATTGGTCATTACATCTTATATAATAATCAATATTTTTAAATATGAAATCATGATTTCTAAGCCATTTGTATAACTTTAGTAACACCGGTCAAAATTTTTCATAAAAGTCTTGAGAATAGACAAAGACTTTCATATAGTCTATATTTAGATCAATAACCTGTGTGATACTTTGTGACTATAATGAAAAGTGACACTTTTTAATCATATTAGTTGAGAAAATATAATATTAAAAATCTACTGCTAAGGAGCTAAAATAAACAATATTACTTGAGTGAATGCTCCTATAATATTTTTATGTGTAATTGGAACAAAATAAAAATTATATTTCAAATAAGGTGATTTTTTGTTGCTCAAAAAATGATTTTGCCATAGGCAGTATTTTCATAGAATAAATGGAGAGGCCTATTAAAGACCGTTTTCACAAATTGAATTTTAGAAAATAACATTTAGATATTTAATTGTGCCTAGATGTACTTTGGTATTACATCTTTATTTTTTAATGATTGGAGACATAAATGAACTGCAAACATAGATATTATCTCTATAGTATCACCAAAAGTAATGAGATAGTACTTTAAGTTAGTCTCATAAGTAAGAGTTAAAGTAGAGAAAAAAATGTTTTTCTCAAAATTGATAATTACTTCCCTACTGGTTATATATCATGATGCTTAAAGTAGCAATTCTTAGTAGACAGTTTGTACAATATTACCACAGCAAAATGAACCTATAATATGTAATTTGATAATGTTATTTATATAACATAATTATTATTAGCTAAATTTAAAAATTTAAATAATTACATTAAATGAATACACCTTATATTATTAATTATATTAAATGAATTAATATAACCATTAATTATATTGAATGAATACTGCCTTATATTCTTATCCATATCACCCTCACCTTTCAACAAAATTCCATTGCAAGAAGGCAATATAATTATTTAAAACTGATGCTAATCTCTACAACAAATTGTTCAAAATAGTCCATTCAGAAAAATATAATATCATTTTAATTGCTAAACGTTTTTAATTCCAGGGAAACATAGATACAAATATAAATAAGAGAGAGCATTGACCCAGATAAAGATAGATGGAGAGAAGAGGGAGAGAGAGAGAGAGAGAGAGAGAGAGAGAGAGAATGTCTTGTTCCTCAGGCTTTTCTGTAATGTTAATAAATGTGAACCAAGAAACATGGCCAGAATAGCCTCTAACTTATCACAGGCAAAACTAAACTATATATCAGAATATTTTCATTGCTGACATTTTGTAGAATTAATATATAATATTATGCATATGATTGGATAGAGGCTACCTTAAAAAGTCCTTCTATTGAATGGATTCCACCTGTAAAATAATGCCATAATTTGTAGTTTTAAATATGACATCTTTTGGTGGCATATAGCCAGTCTGTAACTTATGATCATGGTGTTTTTGAGGTTGATCATGCAAAACACATATATTTGAACAGAACACTGCTATAATCTGCTACGCTATTACTGATTATCATCTAATAAAAATTAACATCATTTTTGAAAGTTTTTTCTCAATATTTATTTATTTATTTATTTCGAGACAGAGTTTTGCTCTTGTTGCCCAGGCTGGAGTGCAATGACACTATCTCGACTCACTGCAACCTCCACCTCTGGGGTTCAAGCGATTCTACTGCCTCCGCCTCCTGAGTGGTTGGGATTACAGGTGTGCGCCACTACGTCTAGCTAATTTAGTATTTTTAGTAGAGATGGGGTTTCACCATGTGGGTCAGGCTGTTCTCGAACTCCTGACCTCAAGTGATCCACCCGCCTAGGACTCCCAATGTGCTGGGATTACAGGTGTGAGCCACCGCACCCGGCCTTCTCAATGTTTTTAAATAAATTGGTGATTAGTTTAATATTTAAGTTGCTGTCATTTTGTATTACAATAAAAATTTTTGAAAGATGTTATTTTTAGCTAAAAAAAATAGTTGCACCTGGTAGACTTATTCAAGATGCATGACAGCTGGTATTAAACATTCAGGTCTCTGGTATTTTGATAACAAAAAATAATATGAACAATGGGCAGTGTTCCGTTCGAATGTCAAGGGTGAAGATGGTTAATTAGGCTGTTCAGATATCTGCAAAGCAGATGAAGCGAAGCACAAATGAATGTAAGTAAACAATAAAACATTTCCTGGGAAGCAGTTCATGTGACTAAAATTCATAAATGCAGGCTAAGCGTAATATTTATCAATTATTTCTCTGGAGAATAATGTTAAAAAAATGACACCATAGAAGGTTAAATAAACAAACATCTGCTTATTAAATCTATAGTAAAAAATCTCAAGAAATATATATTGATGTGGTAAAAATAAATAAGAAATGTTTGATAATAACTTGATATTATCAAGTTATTGATAAAAAATGAAATATTGAAAACACATTTCCTTCTGCAGAAATCACTTAACATAATTACTATATGACATTTATTTAAGTATCATTAATTCCGAAGAAAGGATTTTAGAGACTAAAACATGTTAAAGGTGTTATGTGCATGTTTATTTTGTTCTTCTAATTCCTTGAGGAGTTAAGTTCAGTTATTGACTTGACCTCTTTTCTCTTTTTTAAGGTAAACATTTACCACCATAAACTTCTCTTTTAGCATCCCCTTGCTGCATCCCACAAGTTTTGGGATATTGTAGTTTTCTTATTATCTCAAGATATTTGCTAATTTTTCTTGTGACTTTTTCTTTGACACATTAAGTGTGTGTTGTTTCATTTTCACATATTTGTGAATTTTCCAGTTTTCTTGTTGCTACTGCTTTTTCATTTCATTTCATTGTGGTCATAAGAGATGCTTGGAATAATTTCAATTTTCTTCAGTTCATTAAGATTTGTTTTGCGATTCAACATGTGATCTATTCTGAATAATATTCTATGTTTGCTTGGGAAGAACGCCTATTTAGCTGTTGTTAGATGGAGTATGTTTATGTTTGTAAGGTCCAATTGGTTTATAGTGTTGTTCTTATTCTGTTTTTCCTTATTGATCCATCTGGTAGATCTACCCATTATTGGAAGTGAAATATTAAAGCCTCTCCTAATATGATATTACTATTTCTCCCTTAGCTTCTGTCAATGTTTGCTTCAAAAATTTAGAAAGCTCCACTATTAAGTGCACATATATTTACAATTATATTTTCCAGGTGAATGTTCTTTTTTTATGTTTTGTGACAGTTTTTGGTTTGATATATAATTTGTCTGAAATAAGTATGTCCACCCCTGCTCTCTTTTGCTTGGCATCTTCATGTAATACTAGTTTCTCTATCTTTTCAGCCTAATTGTGTCTTGATAGCTAAAATGAGATCCTTAGAGACAGCTTAGAGTTGGATTTTTGTAATCTATTAAACTGCCTCTGTGTCTATCAACTGAGAAGTTTAATCTACTTACTTCTAAAATAATTACTGACAAAAAATAATCTATTACCATGTTTTAATTGTTTTCTGTATGTCTTGAAGTTATTTTACCCTCTTTTTTTGTCTTGCTGGTTTTCTATTTATTTACTTATTTATTTATTTATTTATTTATGTTGGTGACATGCTTTGACTTCTTTCTCATTCTTTTGTGTATCTTCTGTAGATATTTCATGATTGACTTGGTGATTACATAAAATATAATTCTAACAATCTATTTTTAACTTACAACAACTTAACTTCAGTGGCATACAAAAACTGTAGTCCCTTATTTCTCTGACACACATATGTGTTATTGATTAACAAATTACCTCTTTTTAGATGTATTCCCTAAAATAGTTTCATAATTATTTTTATATTTTTATCTTTTATATTCTATACCTGAACTAAAAGCAACTTATATACTGCATCACAGTATTATAGGATCTGTATTTGTAAATATATCTATCTCCACAAGGCAGCTTTATGTTTTCTTATGTTTTTAATGTTGCTCTCTAGTGACCATTGGATTCAACTTGAAAGGCTTCCTTTAGAAATTCTAAGAAAGGTGTAATAAAAATGAATTTCCTCAGATTTTCTTTACTTGAGATCTTTCTCTCTTATTTTTGAAGAACAATTTTGTGCTTTTTAGTATTCTTAGTTAGCAGTTCTGTTTTGTTTTCCTTTTAGCACTTTTCATTTATTATTCCTCTCTTCTGCACCGCAAGATTTCTAATGGGACATTTGCTTATGATCTTAAGGAAGTTTCCTTTTACCTCATGAGTCACTTTCCACTGGCTGGTTTTTTTTTTTTTTATTTTATTTTATTATACTTTAAGTTTTAGGGTACATGTGCACATTGTGCAGGTTAGTTACATATGTATACATGTGCCATGCTGGTGCGCTGCACCCACTAACTCGTCATCTAGCATTAGGTATATCTCCCAATGCTATCCCTCCCCCCTGCCCCCACCCCACCACAGTCCCCAGAGTGTGATATTCCCCTTCCTGTGTCCATGTGATCTCATTGTTCAATTCCCACCTATGAGTGAGAATATGCGGTGTTTGGTTTTTTGTTCTTGCGATAGTTTACTGAGAATGATGATTTCCAATTTCATCCATGTCCCTACAAAGGACATGAACTCATCATTTTTTATGGCTGCATAGTATTCCATGGTTTATATGTGCCACATTTTCTTAATCCAGTCTATCATTGTTGGACATTTGGGTTGGTTCCAAGTCTTTGCTATTGTGAATAATGCTGCAATAAACATACGTGTGCATGTGTCTTTATAGCAGCATGATTTATAGTCCTTTGGGTATATACCCAGTAATGGGATGGCTGGGTCAAATGGTATTTCTAGTTCTAGATCCCTGAGGAATCGCCACACTGACTTCCACAATGGTTGAACTAGTTTACAGTCCCACCAACAGTGTAAAAGTGTTCCTGTTTCTCCACATCCTCTCCAGCACCTGTTGTTTCCTGACTTTTTAATGATTGCCATTCTAACTGGTGTGAGATGGTATCTCATAGTGGTTTTGATTTGCATTTCTCCGATGGCCAGTGATGATGAGCATTTTTTCATGTGTTTTTTGGCTGCATAAATGTCTTCTTTTGAGAAGTGTCTGTTCATGTCCTCCACTGGCTGGTTTTAAGATTTTCTCCTTGTCTTTGACTTTTTAAAGTATGAATATAATGGGTCTGATATGGTTTGGCTGTCCTCACCTAAAATCTCATCCTGAATTGTAATAATCTCCACTTGTAAAGTGCAGGACCAGGTAGAGGTAATAGAATCATGAGGGCGGTTTTTCCCATGCTGTTCTCGTGATAGTGAGTGAGTTCTCACGAGATCTGATGGCTTAAAAGGCGCTTCTCCCTTTGCTCAGCTCTTGTTCTCTCTTCTGCCTCCTTGTGATCTCATGTGTGTGTGTGACAGGAGATCTAGGTCTTTCTATTTTACCTTTTTGGTGATACCACTTCACCTCACCACTAACTTTTTACAAGGTACAACATCAATTTAAGAGAGGAAAGGTGGGAAAGGTGACCTTCTAAATAAATGGTGCTGGGGAAGTTGAATATCTACCAAATAACAAACACACATTCAAGCATCAAACCTTATGCAAAAATACATCATGAACTTAAACGTAAAACCAAAACTTTGAGAAAAAATATAGGAGAAATTCTTCCATATCAAGGGCCAGTAGATGAATTCCCAGACTTGACACCAAAACTATGGTCATAAAAGAAAAAAATTATAATTTGGATCTTTTCAGGATTTAAAAAAACATGTTTCTATGTTCATTACTCTTAAAAGCATAAAAATACAAGATAGGTCTGCAGCAAAATATTTTCAAACCACATATCTGACAATGGAGGAGTGTATTAAATAGACCAGGACGTCTCAAATGTAGCAGTAAGAAAAGCAAACAATCCAACTAAATAATGTGCTAAAAATGCAAAGGGACTTTGTACCAAAGAAAATATATATACAGCAAAAGTCACGTGAAAATATTTCAATATCATTCATCACAAATGTTAAACAAAATTAGATAATACTTCGCACTTAAAATGGCTTAAATAAAAAATAGTGACAACATGAAACTGGCAGGGATGCAAGAAAACATCTTTTATATATTGCTGATGAATATATAAAATGGTACAGCAACTCTAGCAAAGCATTTGGCAACTTATTACAACTATCATGTGACCCATCAATTGTACTCCTGGATGTTTATCCCAGAGAAGTATAATTTTTCCGTTCACATAAAAACCACTATATCTATCCATCTATCTATCTATCTATCTATAGATATATATACACACACACATATAATTTAATGCAATTGTATTGTTATCTATAATTGAGCTGTTAAATAGAGTAGCCTTGTGGTTATTTAAATTAATTTAAAAATTAAAAAATTTAAGACTTAACTCACTAGGCACATTTCAAGTGCTTAATAATCACTTGTAGCTAGTAGCTTTCACATTGGACAGCATAGATGTAGAACACTTCCATTATTGAAGAAAGTTCTATTGGATAACCCTGGCTAATAAAAACATTGTTTTTGATTTTTTAAATTTCTGTGTTGACTAAAACTTAAATATTTTTATAACTTTGATTCAAATGTTAATTGTTACGTGGAATACTATGATACCTATACATAAAATTAATAGTGTGGCATAAAAGGAGATATGTTGGAAATAATTCTAAAGAAAATGTGATTTAGTTTAAAAAATATGCCAGTGAAATAATGTTTTATTTAGAATAACAGTACTCATAGTTTTCAAAATTGCATACTTTATATTTTTGAGATGCAATGTTGTTTAGCATTGTCAATAGTCTACAATGCATTAATAAATGCTATTGTAAAATAAACCTAAATGAAAAGTGAGAGTTTTCAAATGATAATTTTTCAAAATGATTATTTTATATGTTCTTTCTTATAATTAATGCCACTAAAATAAATATTTTTTCCTAAAGAATTCCTCATTTTATAATATTTTAATTGTTTCCCAGGACTTAATTACTCATAGATTTGCAAAGGTGAAGTTGGATATGACTTCATCCTGTTAAATTCAGAAAGCATCTCAAAACGTCATTTGGGAAATCAACACAGGACATAGAATATCTGAAAGTTTTGGATATACTAAGAATAACTGTAGCATTGATTTACCTTATAACCAGTTTAATGCAATTTAATAAAATAGTATTTTCTTAAATTTACCCTGTTCCATTATTCTGTAGTGTGTGTTGCTTTTTTTTTTATTTTTGAGAAATAGTCTATTGTTGAAAATAACAAAATGTCCTTATTCATTCTCCTGGTGATGGATGTTTTAGTTGTTCAAGTGTTTGTGCAGACATACATTTTTATTTCTTTTGAATAAATACCTAGTAGTAAAATTACTCATGTTCTAGTAAGTATATGCAAAACTTTAAACCGCCCAACTGTTTTTCACTAGCAGTTTACAAGAATTCCAGTTATTGCACATTCTGTCCAACACTTGGTATTTTCAGTCTTCTTTAGTTTTAGCCAATCTAATGTGTGGGTCATAATTTCTCATAGTGGTTTTAATTTGCATTTCCCCAAAGGCTAATGAGCATTTTTTCATGTTTGCCATTCACATAATTAATGTTGCTCAAAATTTCTGCCTATTTGTTATTAGGTTGTTTGTCCCCTTATATATTGTATTGAGTTGTTCTGGATACAAGGGTTTTTTTGTGTCAAAAATGTGTATATCACAATGTGTATTACATATATTCACAAATATTATGTAAATATATTTCTTACTTTTTTGACTTACCTCTTCATATTATTAATGTTTTGCAAAAATCAAAATGATTTTTTAAATTCGATGAATATTTTTCTTTTTCTTTTCTTTTTTGTTTTGAGCTTTTTATATGTTAAGAAATATTGACCTGTCCCATGGTTGCAAACATTTTCCCTCTGTTTTCTTCTAGGAACTTTATAGATTTGGCTTTTGCATTGCTGATACAATCCACTCTGACTTAAATTTTCTTATATGGTATGAGATAAGATTGATATTAATCATTTACTATAGCACTGTACAATTGTTCCAGTACTGCTATTATAAACATCAATGTTTCCTCATGGAATTGTCTGGAGCATGTGTTGAAAAAGCCATGGAATATATATGCATGTGTCAGTTTCTGTGACCTAAGGTTGATCTGTATGTGTATAGTATTGCTAATTACACCCTATGTCAAGTACTTAAAATTTAGAGTAAAATTTGAAATTGCATTGTATGTTTTTCTCCAACTTTGTTTTCTTTGAAACATTTTTCTATGTGAGTTTAGGTGGATTGTACTTGCACATAAATACTGACATTTTAATTGAAATTATAGTACTTCCACAGATCCATTTTGAATAATGAACATTATGATAACATTGACTCCTTCATTTTATTAATATGCTATATTTTTCTATTAAATATATTTAGTTTCACTTAGTATCATTTTGTAGCTTTCAATATACGAGAAATACTCCATTTTTAAATTTATTACTATGTTTCTTTTTTTGTATTCTAGTAAATGGAATTATTTTTTATTTCTATTTTCAATTATACAACTACACATGTTGATCAATGAGCTTGTAACTTTCTAAGGTTTTTATAATTTTCTATACATTGAAATTACTATCCTGTGTCATTTCCCTTCACACAGAGAAAAATGGACTTTTGTGTAGGGCAGGCAGGTCTTTGGGCAATAAATTGTCCACATTTTTGTTTATGTAAAAATAACATTCTTTCACCTTTATTTGTGATGGATAATTTTGACATAGCTATAAATTTTCTGCCATTGTCTAGCTGCCAAAGTCCATCCTTTAATTTTTCAGCATTGTACTCCGTTGTCTGGCATCTTTGTTGATAAAGATAAAGATTTCTTCTGCTTATTTTGTCGTGGCGTTGGAGGTTGAGGCGAAGGCTCAGGCGAGGAAGACACACACTTGCAATTTTCACCCTTCCTAGTTGCAGATTTTTAAAGAATAAACCCTCCCCTAACTCTGTTCTCTTGAGTGCTTTGGAATTTGTTTCCTATTTTATTTACATGTGGAAAGGGTCAAACTATTAGGATTACTGGAAGTTCTCCTGATGGGTTTTTGTTTTTTGGAGTTTTTTTTGTTTTTTGTTTTTTGACAGAGTCTCCTTTGTTGCCCAGGCCAGAGTGCAGTGGCTCAATCTCAGCAAACTGCAACCTCTGTCTCCCGCGTTCAAGTCATTCTCCTGCCTCAGCCTTCTGAGTAGCTGGGACTACAGGCACATGCCGTTATGCAAGGCTAATTTTTGTATTTTTTTTTTTATAGAGACGAGGTTTCACCGTGTTGGCCAGTCTGCTCTATAACTCCTGACATCAAGTGATCTGCCAGCCTCAGTCTCCCAAATTCCTGGGATTACAAGTGTGAGCCACTGTGTCTGGCCCTGATCTTTCTGATTCTGTTTGGCTTAACCTCAGGCCTCCCAAACTGTGGGATTATAGGCATAAGCCAACACGTCCAGCTGCCAGAGGTAAATTTTTATGACCAAAAAGATTTATTTTTAATTCTCGTATGCATTAATTCACTAAATACTGGAAGAACTTTTCTTATGGATAGTATTCTGAAAATCAAGAACTGGATGCATGAGTGTGTTTTAGGAGGTTTTATTTATTTATTTATTTATTTTTTTGAGATGGAGTCTCACTCTGTCGCCCAGGCTGGAGTGCAGTGGCGCGATCTTGGCTCACTGCAAGCTCCGCCTCCCGGGTTCACGCCATTCTCCTGCCTCAGCCTCCCGAGTAGCTGGTACTACAGGCGCCCGCCACCACGCCCGGCCAATTTTTTGTATTTTCAGTAGAGACGGAGTTTCACCATGTTAGCTGGGATGGTCTCGATCTCCTGACCTCGTGATCCGCCCGCCTCAGCTTCCCAAAGTGCTGGTATTACAGGCGTGAGCCACCATGCCCGGCCCAGGAGGTTTTATTATTAAAATATAAAAAGAGGCTGGGTGCAGTGGTTCACACCTGTAATCCCAGCATTTTGGGAGGCTGAGACAGGAGGATTGCTTGAGCCCATGAGTTTGAGACCAGCCTGGGAAGCATGGTGAAACCCTGTCTCTACAAAAACTACAAAAGTTAGCTGAGTATGGTGGTGCACACCTGTAGTCCCAGCTACTTGGTAGGCTGAGGTGGATCACTTGAGCCCAGGAAGTGGAGGTTGCAGTGAAAGATCATGCCATTGCCCTCCAGGTTGGGAGACAGAGCAAGACTCTGTCTCAAAAACTAAGTTAGTTAATTAAATTAATAAAAATGATGTATACATTACATGAAGCCTAGTACAACGAGTATAACCCCTTCTCTGAAAGACCCTCATCTCGACTGGGAGGCCATCGTATTTCCCTACAGTTACTTTGTAGGAATTTTTACCTTCTCCCTATCTTTTTGCAAGCTAGAGCCTGAAGTGCTATCCTATGCCTAATATTGCTGACATTTCCAGGTCTGTCTATGAGGACAGCTGTTATTTTGAAGTAAGCATATAAATAAGAAAAAGAAAGGAAATAAAACATATTGGTTACTTTTCTCTCTAACACTGCCTCCCCTTCACTGCTATGCCTTTCCCTAGCCCATTAATGGTCTTTTCTGAAGCACCCCTAATTGTCTTCACATTCTGTTTATAGACCCTAGACTGCTCTTTCCTTAAAAGACTGTGTAGAGTTCACACGAATGGGTCTCTCAGATTTTGAACTACAGAATGCACAGCTGAGTGATGGCGCCCGCTACTGCCCTGTGCTACCCATCAATGTGTCCCCACTGAGGCTATATTTTGCATGAGCTACTCTTAACCAATGATTGAGCATTAAAAAAGAATGCTAAAGCCTAGCCATTTCCAGTAAACACAGGACTTCTCTATTGGAGAACTTAGACTGGAGGATGCTATACTCTTCTTGCTGAATTATTTTATTTCTGCACCACACTCCACACACCACACACTTCCATTCTTCCTTATTTTGCTCTCTCCTTCATAGAAGGTTAGACCAGCACCACAGTCTCACAGCCCTCACAGCCTTCCCTGGATCCCTCCTTTTGACACTAATATATATTATACATGACATTATAATATATAATATGGATTTCCCAGCTGATCTTGTTTTAGTGCCTGCTTCTAAAGAACTCAAAATAATACAGGCTTTGACTTATGCCAGCTGCCCTGAAAAATATTTATCTGATAAGCTGCACTTTAAATTATGTTAAATATTTTGCTTCCCTTTATTCCACACATACACAATTTTTTTAAGAAGAAAAGGGAACTGTTGGAGTGAGTAACTAGGAGGGAACAATTTTTCTTTTTTTTGTTGTTTATATTTCCAAAATTACTGGCAGAAAAATACTCAGAATGTTGTGTATTTGTTTAATTATAGAAAGATATTAGCACACTTATGGGAAAAATCTCTCTTTGGCAGTGAACAAAATCAAAGAGAAGTCTAGGTTAACAGCATAAGAGGATACAGGGTACACTTATATGGGAAATAGTCTGGCCAATTTCTGATATCTAAATATCGTTAAAGGGAGAAGCCTGGGGCACTGACAATGAACTAAGATGTATCTTATTTCTTTAAACTTAAAGGGCACAATGACATATTTGTGCTTCAGTTCTTATAAATAATTATACATGTTGTCAAGTCAATCTTGGTTGTTTGCTTGGTAACTTGTCATTAAAGTACCATCGAGAACTAGCATGCCTATGAATATGGACACCAAAATTCTCTGTTTGTGTTTCGTTTCCATGTGTTGTCACCCCCCATTTTAACCAGACTATACTTGTTTTTTTTTTTTTTTTTTTGAGACAGAGACTCACTCTGTCACCCCAGGCTGGAGTGCAGTGGCGTGATCTCGGCTCACTGCAACCTCTGCCTCCTGGATTCAAGCAATTCTCCTGCCTCAGCCTCCCTGGTAGCTGGGACTACAGGTGCCTGCCAACACGCCGGGCTAATTTTTTGTATTTTTAGTAGAGATGGGGTTTCACCATGTTTCGATCTCCTGACCTTGTGATCCGCCTGCCTCGGCCTCCCAAAGTGCCGGGATTACAGGCGTGAGCCACCGCGCCCGGCCACCTGTGTATTTTAAACACCTTCATACAGAACTCAAGACAGACTGTAATGTATTTGTAAACCCATAGATATAGAATGACTGTAATTAAAAAACCAATGGCCTAGAATTGAGTCCACTTTTAAACACAAATGCATTACGATCTGGCTATAATATTATGTTTTAACCACATGCCCTATCTGAATCAAAGGAATGCTTAAAAATTACAACATGTAAATTAGTAAATAGCCATGTAAATTATATTACTAATGCAGTAATTCTTCCTTATTCAAGATTTCACTATGTCAACTGTTGCTCAAAAATAGATGAGCACAGTAACTTAAGAAAATTTAAGAAGAGAAACCATGTTCATGTAACTTTTATTATAATGTAATGTTGTAATTGTTCTATGATTAGTTATTTTTAATTTCTCACTGTGCCTAATTTATAAATTAACTTTGTTATAGTTATCTATGTATAGGAACAACATCATGTATATTACCCTCAAGCACATAGTAGGTAGTCAGTAATGTATATTAAATTATTAATGCTATATTATTAGGATGATTATTTTGAAGGGCATTCCACTAAATCCAAAGCAATTACTATACAAGGTGTGAGGTTTTCTAAAGAGCAGTAACACACTTTTGTTTTAATTTTGATTATGGGTTATTTTAAAAGGTTTGATATTTTAAATGTGTGATAGTTGGGATTTTATAAGACAAGTTAATTATAAATGCATTTTTTCACATCAGTACATAAATTTCTTTTACTCATGAACAATTTAAGAACAGAAATGTTTGAATATCTAACAGAAAAACAAGCATATCTTTCCTCAAACCTAAATAGCATTATTCATTGTTGAAACAGGAAAAGGAGACACATTTCAGACCAAAAAAAGTCTTTACAAAATATATTTTGTTACTTGGGGGGGGATGAAAATTATTTAATTATTTCATGAAAACATACCATTTTATACTTTGTCCCAGAGGCAAAACACCAATGATTGTGTTCAAGAGGGACAATACAAATTCAGATACATATTATAGATATTCTATTATATTTTCTTTAACATTGTTGCAACAAAACAAAGCTCTCATTTTGTTTTGTTTTTGTCTTATTTTTTTCCTACATATTTTGAGGGTATTTTAACTGAGATAAAAAATATACTTAATATTTGGGTAAATAGGAAAGCCTAGTTCCTGCTGTCTGATGACAGAAGCTTCTTGAACTTTAGACTCTTCCAGTCCCATGAGCACTATCTGTCTCCTAACAGATACATTCATTCTCATATTGGATCACACATCATTTCATAGTTTTCTGGTAAGCTTACATGCCATGGGAGAGCAATACCTGCTAATTTTTATCCAGGCCTAGTCAGTCACCATGCAGGATGGGATTAAATACTACACAAATATAACTTTGTTTGTGTGCCCTTCATCATGCTGAGGGAGTACCATTAGAGGTGTTTACCATAAATTCCACTTCTAACTAGTGGCTGAAAATAAACAAACTTGAAGACGGTATGGATGGTAGAGAATATTTGCTTTTTTCACTAGGTGGACATTAGTGTACAGTGGTTATGGAAATATAGCCTTCTTCCCTAGTGTTCCCTTTTCATTTGTTTCTTCTCTTTCAGTTGGCAGTGCCATCTTGCTAGAATTCCACATGTTTCTGTCATGGCACTCTGTGTCACCATACTTTGGACCTCTTTCATCTAGCTTCTTGTTGAAGATGGTTGGTAGGAAGACAGTTTTAGAGTCCTTATAGTTCTGCAGCCATAAACATAAGTTTTAGATATTTCAGAGTAGGAGTTGGAAGTTGATACCATTAGTAATGATAATCATTTTGTCTTACAAAAACATGTCTTCCCATATTCAGTTTTATCTCATACCCTCTAATCAGTTATTTATAGAAAAGAGAATAAAGGTGAAGGAAGTGAAAAACTCTGTATTCTAAAATGTGTTCTCATAATTATTTACTTATTTTCCAATTTATCTTATGTTCTGATTCCTATGGTTTAAATGTACCCTTCAAAACTCATTTTAAAATTTAATTACAATTGTAACAATATTAAGAAAATGTATCTGTAAGAGATGATTACATCATGAGGTCCCAACTTTATGAATAAATTAATGCCCTTATCCTGGGAGTGCAACAGTTATACAGAAATGGGTTCCTGATAAAAAGGATGTGTTCATCCCACTACCCTCTCTGTCTCACATGCTTACTTGCTCTTCTACTGCGGGATGATACTCACCAGATATCAGTATTCTGCTCTTGAATTTTGCAGCTTACAGAATCATGGGCGAAATAGACCTCTGTTCTTTATAATTACTCAGCCTATGGTATTCTGTTATGGAAGCAAAAACAAATGGATGAACACCCTATTTTTTCTCAAAGAAAATCAGCAGCAATTTCCAGAGCTTAATAAAATACAAGTCTATTGATCCCAGGTCCTTTTCTTATGTGTGTAAAAGGCTCAAATGGGCTATGCTTTAATGAAATGCTAAACTCTTGACCTAATTGCTTTTGATATTTCTAAAATAAACGTTGAACTGTCAGAGATTCTTTGAGTTATCAATCTGAATCAGATCTTGTAATATAACCACCACTGCAGGCTATATTTGTACCAAATGAAAAGAGCTGTTATATCTACAACTGAATAAGACTTCAAAAACACATCAAATTGTTTTTTTAATTTATGAGTTATTTATTTCCTTACCTAGTGACCCACATCTTCAAAGTATAAATTGCCCAGAAGTACTTGAGTGAGCCACCACACTCAACTTGAACATAGTACTTTAAATCTTTCATCCATGGCTGTGTAACAAGCCAACTGAAAGTTGGTGGCTTAAACATTCCACTCATTCACTTCATCATACTTCTATGAATTTGCAATTTGTACTGGGCTTAGCTAGATAAATATGCTGGTCTCATTCATGGGTCTGCTGTCAAATGAGAGTCAATGGCCTCACTATGTCTGCTATTCAACTGGGATGACTGGGTTAACTGGTTTACATGCTTCTATCCTTCTGGAGAACAATCCGGACTTTTTAACGTAGCTATAGTTGCAAGGTTGCAGAAGGAATACAAAATTCTCTAAAGCATTTACAAGTCTTTTTATTTCATCAAGTTTACTATTTTTTTTCTATTGACAAAAACCAAATAGCCAGGCAAGACAAGGTATGGGTTGAGCACACCTAAAGGCAATGTACCACATACATAGAACATGTAGTGTATGTGTAAAATGTACCAACAGTTACAGACTGAAGATAGAAAGTGGAATGTCTTAAGATGTACACAAGTTAGTGGAACTTATCCACTGAAAATTTTATGGGAGGTAGGTAGTCCACAGAACTGTAGTAATGGGGTAAAATGTCATTATTTGATTGCCAAACTGCCAGAGAGAAGACTCTCATATTGAGAAAGGAAAATGAGCTAGAAGGCATTGGCAGCATCTACATGGACAGGTTTTGGACATAATCAGCACTGGAAGGCAGAATTCCCTATAAGAAATTATTTAGAGGGTTCAGAAGATAGGCCAGTTCAGAACCTGTATAAGGAGAAGAGAGCATCATTAAAACAGGAAAGAATATTTCTAAGAAAATGGGGGTAATGACATTGGAAATAGAAGATCAAGAAACAAACAAGAGAACCCACCTATATCCCTGAAGACAAAACTACTCTGAATATTCTAGGACATCTTCCTCATGCCCGGGTGGTAGCTCATGTATGGAACAGTTATAACCATCATTCTGATTTCACAAGTTATTATCCACATACTCAAGGAAAGTTTGGGTCTTCACACTAGAGATTCTGAATGATTTAAATTATGCTCCACGGGAAGCAGCTTATGAACGAGTATCCCTTCAGATTTAGTTGTCAAGGCAACACACAAAGTAGACAAAATAACCGTGGGAATGGACAGAAAAGTAGAAAAAGAAGTTTGTCCGCAAATCTATTCTAGAACACTAGGTTTTTACTCAAAGCCTGTGTGACAGTGCCTGATTTTTTGTAGTTACTTTCTGTATGCATGTATTACTGATGGTAATGCTGAAGTTCAAAGAAAAATTTTAATATTGAGCTACACAAATAAAAATAAAAGACAATATTATAAACATATTACTATTCTCATCTCCTTTTCCGTTTGTTTGTTTGTTTGTTTGTTTGTTTGTTTGTTTTTTGACAGAGTCTGTCTCTGTCGCCCGGGCTGCAGTGCAGTGGTGTGATCTTGGCTCACTGCAACCTCCGCTTCCCGAGTTCAAACAATTCTCATGCAGCCTCCAGAGTAGCTGGATTACAGGCATGTGCCACCATGCCTGGCTAATTTTTTTGGTATTTTTAGTACAGACAGGATTTCATGATTTTGGCCAGGCTGGCCTTGAACTGCTGACCTCAAGTGGAGGGCCCACCTCGGCCTCCCAAAATGCTGGTATTACAGGCATGAGGCACCTCTCCTGGCCAATTGTCATATCCTTATCAGCATCACTTAAGGCCCGCCTTCAAAGATTCCAGTTTAATTATGGAATGGGTCTGGGAGACTGTGTTAAATCAACCCAGGTGATTGTAACATGCAGTCATCTAAATTAATCCTTATTACATCTTTTTCAGTAGGCTCTGTTATTATTATTCCTTTTTCAACATGTGAAAATGAAAACATAACAAGTTAATCAATATCCCCCAGGTTATGGAAACTAGCAAGCGTCAGAGTTAGGATTTGATCCTAGGCAACCTGGCTCCAGACCTGTGACCTTGGCTACTACACACTTATGATCAGAAATATTTATCTCAAAACTATTTGTTCTTTTGATTCTTCACTCACTGAAACTTAAGACCTAGGAAATTTAAATATTTAGTAATACATCCCTGAATGATGGATATTGTCAATTCTCTTTCTGGCCAAGAGAGAAAAAGGCATTGGATATTTTCAACCTGCAGCTTCAGTTATCTGGCTCCAGGGTGATACTGACGAAGTCTGGTAATGCAGTAGGCTGCTCACCCCCAGCAGAAGTAAAGCTTTGGAGCTCAAGGCTTTTCCCAAATAATAGATTATCCAGGGCCTCTAGGAAGAAGAGGCTGAAAGAGTGACGCAGTATTGAGGTTGATGTCCCTGCCAAAGTGCTAGGATTTGCATAGAGTATTTTGCATTGGTAAAATAGCAGTGCACACTAGAAACCAAAGGGAGGGGGGAAACTAGCCACAGGACAAAGCTACCATGTCATCGATTGGCCAAAAACACTGCAAAATTAAATATCATTGTAAAATTCATTATATTCTTGAAGGGGGATTTAATGTTCAGAGATATTATTTAGAGTTTGGTTTCTGAGTAGGTTTTTTCTCAGGAAAATAACCTTAGGAGTTATGATTGTAAAGCTAGACCAAGGTTCGGGAAACATATAGACTTCAACTAGATACCATCTTAACATTCAAAAGAGTTTAATAGGTAGGTAAAAAGACAAAATAGTGAATAAATCATCACATATTCATTATTTATAAATGGACTTCCTAAAATCCAATTAGATATTATGGATAATTGGGTTGAGTATCTAGAATCTAATTTGATTTGAAAATTAGGCAATGATGACTCTAATATGGGGATATAACCAACAACTTCTTTTTTAGTCCATGACATGATGACATTAAGTGGCTCAGCAGGAGAGCTAGGGACATGAGAAAAAATGTGTTGAAGCCCATGATTTAGATCCCTGACCAATAAACAATCTCAAGGAGCCCCAAAATTTTGCTTTAGGATAATTTTTAGGGTGAAATTTTTTAATGATAGGCATCATTAACTCATGAGAAATTTAGAAGTTAGTATAGAGATATATTTTTAAAAAGCTATAGTGTTGTATTTTTGTGAAGTTTAAAACTGACATATATTTGCTACTTAAGCACTTGCAGCTCATTTTTAAATTTCTGACATTATAGCAGTACAACTGATTAATCTCATAATTCCAATTTTAATAAGTGTAAAAATTGAGAAATTAATATAGATTTACTAATTTTATATTCAGCATTGTAACATTTAAGAGAACTTAAGGTTTAGCTTACCACGTTAAATTTATGTGAGTTATTTAAGTATTCAAAAGGGTTTTGTTAATTAAATAATTGGAATACTTAAAAAAGAAATTGAATATATTAAATTTATGAAAGCAGTTTAAAATGTTGAAGGTGTTTAATTAACTAAGTTTTTAAATAGGACCAAACATTATTCAAAAGCCTATTAAAATAGCTA
The DNA here is from genome assembly GCF_000001405.40 of Homo sapiens. NCBI lineage: Eukaryota > Metazoa > Chordata > Mammalia > Primates > Hominidae > Homo > Homo sapiens. The sequence continues at coordinate 82,853,621 of NC_000003.12, read as the reverse complement.
ATAAAAGTTTACTAGACTTAGAAATATAATTCATATGCTGAGCTTAAAAGCTTAAAGAAGAACTAGTTTGGGGATTTGTAACTTTAATAAATTGAATATTAATTTTTAAAATGAAACCAAACTCTAAATAATGTCTCTGAACATTAAATCCTCCTTCGAGAATATAATGAATTTTACAATGATATTTAATTTTGCAGTGTTTTTGGCCAATCAATGACATGGTAGCTTTGTCCTGTGGCTAGTTTCCCCGCACTCTTTGGTTTCTAGTGTGCACTGCTTTTCTACCAATGCAAAATACTCTATGCAAATCCTAGCACTTTGGCAGGGACGTCAACCTCAATACTGCGTCACTCTTTCAGCCTCTTCTTCCTAGAGGCCCTGATTGCTCCTGTACTCTCCAAAGGTTTGCTGACTCCCTAATTCAAATCAAACATAATGGAACCATAACTGTCTCAAGTATATTATTCAGGGTTCTCCAGAGAAACAGAACCAATAAAATGTTTAGAAAGAGATTTATTCAGAGGGATTGGCTCACGTGGTTATGTAAGTTGAGAAGACCCACAATTTGTCATCTGTAAACTGGAGACCCAGGAAAGTCAATGTTTCAGTTCTATTCCAAACTCGAAGGTCTGAGAACCAGGGAAGTCAGCTGGGAGTACTAAAGTCCAAGGACAGGACAAGATAGAAGGTCCAACTCAAGCAGAGAGAGCCAATTTACCCTTCCCCTGCCTTTCTGCTTTGTTCCGGCCCTCAGTGAATTGGATGAAGGCTGCCCACCTTGGTCAGTGTGCTCTTTGTTACTTAGGCCACAAAAGCTAATCTCTTCCAGAAATAAGGTCTTACAAACTATCTGGGCATCTCTTAGTCTGACAAATTGACACATACAGTTAACCATCACACCACTTGCTCACTAAATCTTCAATTTCTAAACACCTGAGAGCATCTCCTATCCAGCCAATCAGACATGTTGGATACAACAGGTTTCCTGGGTCCAGAGTGAGCCCACTCAATTGCAATGGGTTGTTACTTGTGTCCCACGTGGCTCTTCTTACCAGCTCTTTATGTCCTCTGCTTCTGTTCCTCCAGCATATCCAAATGTCCAATTGATGAGGTTTGGTGTCACATATAACTTTGACCATCACAATAAAAAAAATCATAATAGTTTCCAGAAATGTTAATGTACATATGGAAAAATTAACATTAGACTAGGAATATTTATGATTTCTGTGCCTGTGTTAGAGCAAAGTAATTCCATCTCCACTGCTACCAGACTAGTCCAAGTGATCTGTATCTTTATCTAGAATATTCCAATTATGTTTTAACTGGATTTAACTGGTCTTTTAATATTCAATTCTTATATTCACATCAATTTAATACAAAATTGATTCTTTATTACGTTAATGTGCTCTTTTAATAACCCAATTCTTCAAGATATCTTTTTAGTTAAACCATTTAATTATTGCCCTGCCCTATTTTTTTTTACAGTAAGTCCAAAAATTTTTGAAGGATACAATGTCCTATAATATTTGGTACAAATCAATGCCTCTAACTTACATCTTATCATACAACACCTAGCTGCTTTCAGTAACTCAAATAACCATGCCTCCAAACCGTCTCAACAAAACCTCTAAATTTTTGCACCTCCCCAACAACCATCCGCATATAAGTGATTGAAGAACTCCAGCTTTGCATCTATCTCCACTATTGGACTTCTAACGAGATTTATCTGTTGACTTCCTGTTGGGAGACAAATTTTTATGAGTTTCTTACGTTACTGAATTATTCAGGCTTTCTAAGCAAAAGACATTTTTTAAAAGCAAACAGCTCTGGAAGCTAGAAACAGTGTATTTCTCCAGAAAGAACTAGAAATATACATACCCAGAGATTTCCCATGCCACTAAAGATAAAATCATCTCTTCCCTTCTTCAGAGACAGTTGCCTTATATTCTAGGATAATAAACTTAGAGATGACTCTTGTCTCTCCCATAGAGGTAATTTTCTTTCTTTCTCTTTCTTTCTTTCTTTCTCTTTCTTTCTTTCTTTCTTACTTTCTGTGTTTCCTTCCTTCCTTCTTTCCCTCCTTTTCTTCCTTTCAAGGATAGGTATATGTACCAAACATCTTATAAAGACTTACATTCTCCTAAACTTCAAGATTCTTCCCCTATAGTGCATCCCATTGCATATACAAAAATTATGTGGCCCTCATATAATTACCTTATGGAGACTCAAAGTTCAGAGCTGACAGAAGATTCTGCTCTGCCTGCTAATTTTGTTGTGAGAAATAAACCATCTGTGTCTTTGACCCAATGGCCTTGTGTTGCATGTGTGTGTGCCTGTGACATATATAACATATATATGTGTGTCTATGTATATTTGTGTATATATATATGAAAACATGCAAACCTACATACATACATGTAGTAATATTAAATATAAAATACCTATTTTCCGGGAGCGTTTTCCCACCTATATTGGAATTAGTTTAAGAGCCTTGTATTCCTTGGATTTTTATCACTGGTTTTTATAGTGTCCCAAGAAAAGGAGCTTATGGCATGAATGAATAAATACATGTGTTTTCACAAGTCTTAAACATTTTTACCTCTTGTATCACAGAGTATCGACACCTATAAAGATCAGCATATGTCAAACTCAATCCACAAATTCAGGCTTGAAAATAATATAATTTCATCTAGATCAAAATGTTTATGACTCAATGTTCATTTTCTCCAGAGTTTTGAAAATTTTTATCTTAGTCATTGATGAACCCACTTTCACTGTCTCCAGACCACATCACACTGCTATAGGTTTAATTAATATCATGAAAACTCGGTTAAAAAAAAACTCTGATTTCCTGTGTGCTAAGGTTTCTGCTAACAAAAACTCATTGTCTAATCTCTCTATGAAGTCTGGTAACTTCCTGTTTCCATGCTGCCTTTGGACTTCTTCATGTTTATGGGATTGGATGACCCTGTTTTACTTAGCCCTTGCCTCAGAAGTTTGCTGCTTTATATTTCAGTCTCAGACCAGTGAAATCCTTGATGCCTGGTTAAATCTTATATGTGGACTCAAAATTACATAAACATATCCAGTAAGCTTCTCCATAATCCTGAAAAGAGATCTCAGTGGCTGTTAACTGAATGACAGAGGAAAAGCAAATAATAAGTGTAAGAGGAGGAGTAGGAAGAGGAAGAGGAGGAGGGATAAGAAGAAAGAAGAAGGGGAAGGAAGAGAAAAGAAGAGGAAGAAGGAGAATGACAATGAGGAGAAGGAGGAGGGGAAGTGAAAGGAAAAGGGGAAGGTGAAGGGGAAGAAGAGGAAAATGAGTGAAAGGAAAAGAAAGAAAAAACAAGAAGGAGGAGGAGAAAGAGGAAGAGAGGAAAGAGGAAGATAAGGGAAAGGGGAAGGAGAAGGGGAAGGATAAGAAGAGGAAAAGTGGTGCAAACAAAGAAGAAAGAAAGAATAAGGAAGAGGAGAAAGAAGAAGAAGAGAAGGATGAGGAAAACGGGAAGGGGAAGAAGAGGAAGACAGAGAAGAAGGGGAGGAAGAATAAGGAGAAGAGAAGAAGAAGAGGAAGAGGAGGAAGATGTGAAGGAGAAGAGATTGTGATTGGGAGAGGGAAAGAGAAAGAGATGTGGAGAAAGAAGGGAGGGAGAGAGAAAGATACAGAGAAACAAGGAGAGCCCAGGTCCCTGACCATTAGACTTTCCTTAGCTCCAAGTATTTCCACTGCAGGGCCCTGCAGGAACTGATGAATTAGAAGGATCTCATCTAGAGTTTCATTCTCCAGATTGGCCTGACCCAGTCCAGCCCAAGCTTTACACAGAAGTGTATTAGATTCCTGTGATCTAGGCCTGGAACCCGCAGTGGCATTCTCATTCCCTCTGCAGACCACCTACCAGCCTTGACTCATCTGTACCCCAGAAGGTTCTTTCTACTGGCCTAACAACTATAAAGCAGTTCCCCAAAGTTCCACCATGCAGAGGGGTGCAACCACGCCTTCGTCAATAAGTTCTGAAATCTCTTCCAACTTTATCCCTTTTTGGCTGCTCTTTCTTTAGACCTAGGATATCCTTGAGAGTCTTCTTTCATTTTTGCAGTTATTCTCCTATTGTGGCTTAATAATTTTTTGCATTAAACTTCTCTGTTTAAGATTGATTAATCCCAGAATGTTTTACTAGTTTTTTGAAATTACTAATTAAAACCTAAACAGCAGGATGATTAGGCACTTATCAGTGAGGATAAATTCTGCAGATACACTAATACTTGGTAGAAACATCTCCTTGTGAGGGGCTGGCCACATCCATCTCCTGGGATGCTGTCTGATCACTTCCCTGAGAGAGGGTGTCAGATTGCAGACAAAGAGAGAACCATATAAATGCTACTCCCTCCAGAGGACGTGACAGGTGTTAGAAATACATCTGCTTCCAGGAGGCAAGCTGAATTATATCTTACACATTTCTTTTTTCATTAGTATTATTCTTTAATTTCTAGGGTGCATGTGCACAGTGTGCAGGTTTGTTACATAGGTAGGAGCCCACATAGCCAAGACAATCCTAAGCAAAAAGAACAAAGCTGGAGGCATCATGCTACCTGACTTCAAACTATACTACAAGGCTAAAGTAACCAAAACAGCATGGAACTAGTACCAAAACAGATAAATAGATCAATGGAATATCTTACACATTTCTACATACAAAACATTCCGAAGTGCAACCAATTCTAAATGGAACATATGAAAACATTAAAAGGAATCCAAATAATGGAATTAGGGCTGTGGGCAGACTTTCAGATCTAATGCCATTTATTTTCATTTGTCAGTGGAGATAAAAAGTAACATTGTACATTAACCTTAAAATATAACAGAAAGAAAGAAGAAAGAAAGAAAGAAAGAAAGAAAGAAAGAAAGAAAGAAAGAAAGAGAAAGAAGAAAGAGGAAAAAACAAGAAATAATAAGAAAAAGAAGTATACTTTATATAGAATAATTTTATAAGAAAATATTAAATACATAAAATATTAGATTGACCTAATACATCCCACTTATGATTATTTTACTTTAAAAGCATATTTACCTCCTCACATTGAGAATTAAATATTTTCATAGCTAGCAGATAATCACCCTGGGATAGCATATATGAGTAGACATAAACTTATATAGAGAAATAGATATACTTCTAAATTACTAAAAATAAAGAAATCAAAGATTTACTGGCTTAAATGGAAACTGAACATTTTAGTAAAATCTATTTCCCACGTATCATGGTAACTCTAATTATGAATTAGAAATTATTTAATCTTGTTGAATAATTATTTAGATTTATTTTCATCCACCTATCAATCTCTGGATAAATTTGCATAATGTGATGAGAAGAGTGATTTTATTAAAAATTGCATTGAATTAAAAATCATAGACGGGATTAATCTCCAATTGATTTTGATTCCATAAATTAAAGATATGTGATAATACAAACACAGATTTAATATGTGCAGTTAAAAATAAGAAGTGCTTAAAACTTGTCCGGGTGCAGTGGCTCACTCCTGTAATCCCAGCACTTTGGGAGGCTAAGGCGGGTGGATCATGAGGTCAGGAGTTCAAGACCAGCCTTGCCAACATAGTGAAACCCCATCTCTACTAATGATACAAAAAATTATCCAGGAACGGTGGTGCACACTTAAAATACCAGCTACTTGGGAGGCTGAGGCAGGAGAATCCCTTGAACCCAGGAGGCGAGGTTTCAGTGAGCCGGGATCGCACCATTGCACTCCAGCCTGGGTGACAGGGTGAGACTCCGTCTCAAAAAAAAGAAAAAAAACTTAAAATTTAAATATATGTATATATATGCACACACGTATATAAATATATGTATGTGATATAGCAGGATAAGTGTTTAAACTGGGAAAAGGACATAATTGTCTAGTTCGTAGGGTGATATATAGATTAATGTTTTAATTTTGCATATAACAATGTGTTAATTTTCCCTAAATATTTAGTGTTCACTAAAGTTAGATATCTGGCAGAATATCGTTCTAACAAGAAGCTGTTAGCAGTTAGTTTGTTGTCATTCTTTGAAAATAATAACGAAACAATATTACTTTTAAAGTATTGCATACTTCAAACTTATGTTTAAACCAATTAACCTAAATCGTTATGAGATTTAATTATTGGCCTGATGATATTCCAATTGAATTTTCCTTAATGCTTTGACTTCAAGAAATAACTCCCAGTTATACTATACCAGTAAATTCTTATAGTCATAATTCATTTATTTATAAAACAGTGCTACCATTTAAACCTAAAAAGGTTTTGTAATTATCTTTAAAACTAAATTGTTGAGAGTTTATCTCCTAATTATATTGTATTTAGAAATGAAATTCATTCTGCATAAATAAATGGAAATTTATAGAGAATGTTATGTTCAACTAAAGAAAAAATGCTGACATGTTCATAGTCAATGAAGATCAATTCGTGAATAAGATAAATTGCTTAGTTTTATTATTTAAAGTAATAATAAACCGTTTTTATTAGTGGCAATCATCGCCTGAACTGTTGATCTTGCTATACTTCAAATTTTCCATTAATACACTATATTTTATTTTTAATATTTTGAGAAACCTCCATATGCTTGCCAGCATCCGTAATTTCTTGTCTTTTCTGATAATAGCCTACCTAACATGTGTTAAGTGATATCTCACTGGGTTTTTCCTTCAATTTCCCTGATGATTAGTGATGTTGAGCACTTTACATGTACCTATTGGTCATTTTTTTTAGAGGGGAGATAGTTCACATTGTATTTAATTATTTATTTTTATTCTTTTTAATTATACTTTAAGTTCTGGGGTACATGTGCAGAATGTGCAGTTTTGTTACATAGGTATACACCTGCTATGGTGGTGTGCTGCACCCATCAACCCATCACCTACATTAGGTATTTCTCCTAATGTTATCCCTCCCCTAGCCTCCCATCCCGCAACAGTACCCAGTGTGTGATGTTACCCTCCCTGTGTCCATGTGTTCTCCTTCTTCAACTCCCACTTATGAGTGAGAACATGCAGTGTTTGGTTTTCTGTTCTTGTGATAAGTTGCTGAGAATGATGGCTTCCAGTTTCATCCATGTCCCTGCAAAGGACATGAACTCATCCCTTTTTTATGGCTGCATTGTATTCCATGGTGTATATGTGCCACATTTTCTTTATCCAGTCTATCATTGATGGACATCTGGATTGTTTCCAAGTGTTTACTATTGTGAATAGTGCCACAATAAACATACATGTGCATGTGTCTTTGTAGTAGAATGATTTATAATCCTTTAGGTATATACCCAGTAATGGGATTGCTGGGTCGAATGGTATTTCTAGTTCTAGATCCTTGAGGAATTGCCACACTGTCTTCCAGAATTGTTGAATTAATTTACACTCCCACCAACAGTGTAAAAGTGATCCTATTTCTCCACATCTTCTCCAGCATCTGTTGTTTCCTGACTTGTTAATGATCACCATTCTAACTGGTGTGAGATGGTATCAAATTGTGATTTTGATTTGCATTTCTCTAATGACCAGTGATGATGAGCATTTTTTCATATATTTGTTGGCTGCATAAATGTCTTCTTTTGAGAAGTGTCTGTTCATATCCTTTGCCCACTTTTTGATGGGGTTGTTTGATTTTTTCTGGTAAATTTGTTTAAATTCTTTGTAGATTCTGGATATTAGCCCTTTGCCAGATGGATAGATTGCAAACATTTTCTCCTATTCTGTAGGTTGCCTGTTCACTGTGATGATGGTTTCTTTTGCTGTGCAGAAGCTCTTTAGTTTAATTAGATCTCATTTGTCAGTCTTGGCTTTTGTTGCCATTGCTTTTGGTGTTTTAGATATAAAGTCTTTGCTGATGCCTATGTCCTAAATGGTATTGCCCAGGTTTTCTTCTAGGATTTGTATGGTTTTAGGTCTTACATTTAAGTCTTTAATCCATCTTGAGTTGATTTTTGTATAAGGTGTAAGGAAGGGGTCCAGTTTCAGTTTTCTGCACATGGCCAGCCAGTTTTCCCAACACCATTTATTAAATAGGAAATCTTTTCCACATTGCTTGCTTATGTCAGGTTTGTCAAAGAAAGGATGGTTGTAGATGTTTGGTGTTAGTGCTGAGATTTCTGTTCTGTTCCATTGGTCTATACATCTGTTTTGGTACCAGTACCATGCTGTTTTGGTTACTGTAGCCTTGTAGTGTAGTTTGAAGTCAGGTAGTGTGATGCTTTCAGCTTTGTTCTTTTTGCTTAGGATTGTCTTAGCTATGAGGGCTCTTTTTTGGTGGTGTATTAACTTTAAAGTATTTTTTTTTCAATTCTGTGAAGAAAGTCAGTGGTAGTTTGATGGGGATAGCATTGAATCTATAAGTTACTTTGTGCAGTATGGCCATTTTCGCAATATTGATTCTTCCTACCCATGAGCATGGAATGTTCTTCCATTTGTTTGTATCCTCTTTTATTTCATTGAGCAGTGGTTTGTAGTTCTCCTTGAAGAGGTCCTTCACATCTCTTGTAAGTTGGATTCCTAGGTATTCTATTCTCTTTGAAGCAAGTGTGAATGGGAATTCACTCATGATTTGGCTCTCTGTTTGTCTGTTATTGGTGTATAAGAATGCTTGTGATTTTTGCACAGTGATTTTGTATCCTGAGACTTTGCTGAAGTTGCCTATCAGCTTAAGGAGATTTTGGGCTGAGACGATGGGGTTTTCTAGATATACAATCATGTCATCTGCAAACAGGGACAATCTGACTTCCTCTTTTCCTAATTGAATGCCCTTTATTCCCTTCTCCTGCCTGATTGCCCTGGCCAGGACTTCCAACACTATGTTGAATAGGAGTGATGAGAGAGGGCATCCTTTTCTTGTGCCATCTTTCAAAGGGAATGCTTCCAGTTTTTGCCCATTCAGTAAGATATTGGCTGTGAGTTTGTCATAAATAGCTCTTATTATTTTGAGATATGTTCCAAAAATACCTAGTTTAATGAGAGTTTTTAGCATGAAGGGGTGTCGAATTTTGTCAAAGGCCTTTTTTGCATCTATTGAGATAGTCTTGTGGTTTTTGTCATTGGTTCTGTTTATGTGATGGATTATGTTTATTGATCTGTGTATGTTGAACCAGCCTTGCATTCCAGGTATGATGCCAACTTCGTCTTGGTGGATAAGCTTTTTGATTTGCTGCGGGATTTGGTTTGCCAGTATTTTATTGAGGATTTTCACATTCATGTTCATCAGGGATATTGGCCTGAAGTTTTCTTTTTTTGTTGTGTCTCTGCCAGGTTTTGGGCCAGGATGATGCTGGCCTCATAAAATGAGTTAGGGAGGATTCCCTCTTTTTCTATTGTTTGGACTAGTTTCAGAAGGAATGTTACCAGCTCCTCTTTGTACTTCTGGTAGAATTCAGCTCTGAATCTGTCTGGTCCTGGACTTTTTTGGTTGGTAGGCTATTAATTACTGCCTCAATTTCAGAACTTGTTATTGGTCTATTCATGGATTTGACTTCTTCCTGGTTTAGAATTGGGAGGGTGTATGTGTCCGGGAATTTATCCATTTCTTCTAGGTTTTCTAGTTATTTCCCTAGATGGCAGTTTGTATTTCTGTGGGATCAGTGGTGATATCCCCTATATCATTTTTTTCATTGTGTCTATTTGATTCTTCTCTCTTTTCTTCTTTATTAGTCTGGCTAGCAGTCTATCTATTTTGTTGATCTTTTCAAAGAACCAGCTCCTGGACTCATGGTTTTTTGAAGGGTTTTTCATGTCTCTATATCCTTCACTTCTGCTCTGATCTTAGTTATTTCTTGTTTTCTGCTAGCTTTTGAATTTGTTTGCCTTGCTTCTCTAGTTCTTTTAATTTTGATGTTAGCACGTCAGTTTTAGATCTTTCCTGCTTTCTTTTGTGGGCATTTAGTTCTATAAATTTCCCTCTACACGCTTCTTTAAATGTGTCCCAGAGATTCTGGTACGTTGTGTATTCATTCTTGTTGGTTTCAAAGAACATTTTTATTTCTGCCTTCATTTCATTATTTACCCAGTAGTCGTTCAGGAGCAGGTTGTTCAGTATTTCTGCGGTTTTGAGTGAGTTTCTTAATCTTGAGTTCTAATTTGATTGCATTGTCGTCTGAGAGACTGTTTGTTACAATTTCCGTTATTTTGCATTTGCTGAGGAGTGTTTTACTTCCAATTCTGTGGTCAATTTTAGAATAAATGTGATGTGGTGCTCAGAAGAATGTATATTCTGTTGATTTGCAATGGGGAGTTCTGTAGATGTCTATTAGATCTGCTTGGTCCAGATCTGAGTTCAAGTCCTGAATATCCTTGTTAATTTTCTGTCTTGTTGATCTGTCTATTATTGGCAGTGGGGATGGAGGAATATCTACCAAGCAAATGGAAAGCAAAAAAAAAAGCAGGGGTTGCAATCCTAATCTCTGATAAAACAGACTTTAAACCAACAAGGATCAAAAGAGACAAAGAAGGGCATTACATAATGGTAAAGGGATCAATGCAGCAAGAAGAGCTAAATATATATGCACCCAATACAGGAGCACCAGATTCATAAAGCAAGTTCCTAGATACCTACAAAGAGACTTAGACTCCCACACAATAATAGTGGGAGACCTTAACATCCTATTGGCTATTTTTATGTCTTCTTTGAAAAAATGTCTATTCAGATCCTTTGCCTATTTTTCATTTCGGTTGTTTATTGAGTTGTATGAGTTATTTACCTATTTGGATATTAGCCTCATATCAGATATCAGTTAGCAAATATTTTCTCCCAATCTGTAAGTTGTCTTGTATTGTTTTGTCTTTTCTTTTCTTTCTATTTTCTTTTCTTCTTTCTTTCTTCCTCTTTTCTTTCCTTCCTTTCATCTTCATTTCTTTTCCTTCTCTTTTTCTTTCTTTCCCTCTCTTTCTCTTTCTTTTCCTTCCTTCCTTTCTCTCTCCCTTTCTTTCTCTCTCTCGGTCTCTCTCTCTCCCTCTCTTTCTTTCTTTCTGTCATGCTTTCTTTTTTTCTTTTCTGTCTTGTTCTCATCCAGACTGGAGTTTAGAGGTACAATCTTGGCTCACTATGATCTCTGTCTCCTGGGCTCAAGTGATCTTCCCACAACAGCCTCCTGAGTAGCTGGGACTACAGGCATGAGCCACAACACTCAGCTAATTTTTAAAATTTCTGTAGAGCAGAGGTCTTACTATATTGCCTATGCTTGTCTCCAAGTCCTGGACAATTTCTCCCTGTGTCAGCCTCTTCCCAAAATGCTGGAATTACAGGCATGAGTTACCACACCCGGCCAATTATTTTCATTACTATGTGGAAGCTTTTTAGTTTGAAGTAGTGCTACTTGTTTATTTTTTATTTTGTTATGTGAATTTTCAGTGTAATATGCAAAAGAATATGATTGCCAAGGCCAATGTCAAGAAGCTTCTCCCCTATGCTTCCTTCTGGGTACCTTAGGGTTTCACATCTTATATTAAGTCTTAACTCTTTTTCAATTCGTAACAGAATATTTTTCTATTTATTTGTGTCATTTCAATTATTTTCATTAATGCTTATTAGCTTTCAGTGTACAGATTTCATCTCCCTAGTTAAATATATATCTAGGTATCTCATTCTTTTTGATGTAATCATAAATGAAACTATTTTTTTGATTTCTTTTTTGGACGGATTGTCATTTTGGATGAAGTTGATTTTTGCATATGGTGTAGGATAAGGGTCTAATTTTTTTCCATGTGGAAATCCAGGTTTCTCAACACCTTTATTAAAGATACTGTCCTTTCCACATCATATCTTCTTGGTGCTCTTGTTGAAAATCAGTTGATTGTATATGGCTGGATTTATTTCTGGACTCTCTATTCTGTTATTCCATGTGTCTGTTTGTATGCCAATACCATAATGTTTTGATTACTAGGGTTTTGTAATAAAATTTTAAATCAGGGAGTGTGATGCCTACAATTTTGTTCTTCTTTCTTAAGATTGCGTTGACTATTCAGGGTCTTTTGTGGTTCCATACAGATTTTAGAATTTTTCTATTTATATGAAAAATGCTACTGGAATTTTGATAGGGATGTGCTGAAACTATATATTGCTTTGGGTAGAATGGACATTTTAACAATTTGAGTTATTCAAGTCCATAAACAGAATATCTTTCCATTTATTTGTATATTTTTCAGTTATTTTCATTAATGTTTATTAGCTCCTCTGTGTACAGATTTTTCATCTCCCTGATTAAGTTTATTTCTAAGTGTTTAATTCTTTTGAATGCAATCATAAATGGAATAATTTTCTTGACTTCTTTTTTGGACAGATTGTTGTTGCTCCAGCATTTTCTCTTCTGGAATTACACCCAGGATTTTTTGTTTCATTGGAAAAAAATTAAATCAATAATTCATGGAGGTAATGTGCACTCCTATGTTCATTGCATTATCATTCACAATAGCCAACATATGGAAACAACCTAAGCGTCCATCAACAGATGAATGGAAAAGAAATTATTCATCATTAAAAAAGGAGATCTTGCCATTTGAAATAACATGGATGAACCTGAAAGACATTGTGCTAATTGAAATAAGCCATACACAAAAAGAAAAATACTGAGTGATCTCACTTATATGTAGAATCTAAAAATAATTAATACATAGAGAGTAGATCAGTCCTTACCAGGGACAGCGAGAGAGGAAATGGAGAGATATTGCTATACAAGTACAAAGTTGTAGTTAGACAGGATGAATAAGTCTAAAGCTCTAATGTGCAGCATGGTGACTATAGTTAATAATATTGTATTTTACTTTGGATATTTGCTACAAGAGTAGATTTCAGATCCTACTACCATACACACAAAAAAGGTCACTCTGGGAGAAGATGAATATGTTAATTTGCATGACTCTAGTGATCATTTCACTATGTGTATATGCATGAAAATGTCAATCACGCTGCACGCACTAAACAAATATGAAAGAAAATAAAAAAAGAAAAAATTACAAAAAATATATATTTTAAAGCAGTATTCTTTATCTACTACTCTGAGTCAAGTGGATCACGAGGTCAGGAGATTGAGACCATCCTGGCTAACATGGTGAAACCCCGTCTCTACTAAAAATACAAAAAATTAGCCTGGCGTGGTGGCGGGTGCTTGTAGCCCCAGCTACTCGGGCGGCTGAGGCAGGAGAATAGTGTGAACCCAGGAGGCGGAGCTTGCAGTGAGCCGAGATTGCACCACTGCACTCCAGCCTGGGTAACGGAGCAAGACTCCGTCTCAAAGAAAAAAAAAAAGCTCTAAAAATATGAAATCGACTCCCATAAACAAAATTTCTTGTTCAAATTTCTTATTTTAATTTAACTTCTCATTAGTTTAGAGATAGAGAAAGTCTTAGTCAAATTACCAATTTTCAAATAGTATTTTTTCTTTCATATTAACTTATAAGCTTTTACATTTTCTATAAATTTTGTGAATTAAACTATGCATTTCTCTCCACAGGAGACTGACTCATCATCACAGTTAAGAGCACATTTTGACTGACAGTAATTTGGACAGTGATAAATTGACAATAACTATCACCTGAAGTAAACTACCTGACAGCTATATGTCTCATGCTTTGTTGCAAGAGCTACTTCTATTTCTGAAATTTTTCAGAAATAATTGAAATAAAATTGGTATTTTTGTGCCCAGAATAAGCATTTGATAATATGATTCACAACACTGTTCTGGTTGTCATTATTATCTATGTAATATTAAGGCATTGATCACTCTATTAGTTTAATCCTTCTTTACTTCTGATTGGTGTATGTAATTATTGACCAAATAATTCAGACTGTACAATCAGACTGGTTATTCTGTTGTATACTATCATTATCCATGAATATTTCCAGCTAATTATTTTTCCAATATAACCAGCAATGCATTTCTTACATATGAATAGAATGCATATAGATTTGTTTACAAATATTACAAAGAAGCAATATTACTGCAAGTAAGAACGAATAAAATAAAAAATAATATTAATATTATAGTTTTCTGTGTTAAAGAATCACATGGAATATGGTGATCCTCAACAATAGAATGTGTGACATGTGAATTGATTCAAATTTTTTTTATTGAACGTAAAGCTCTAAAAACCTAAATTAGATGAATGAGTAAGAGCTTTTTTAATCTCAACTATCTGCCAACATTGTACCATTATTTACATAATTTTAAATTGTGTATCTAAAATTACAATAAATAATGATCTTAAACCACAGAGATTTTTATAAGAAATGGGCACACAAATTGACCATGACTTTTGTATTTTATTTTATTATTCAATACATTTAGTTTGTATATAGGTATTTTCCAAAACGCATACATATTTTAATGACAAAATGTAAGTAGTTCATTGTACCAGCAAATAGTAAAATCGTACATGTAAAATGACATTGTCCAGATCCAATCTTATTAATTACATATTTTGATCCTTTATACATGACATTTCTGATGGTAAATACATGACTTGTATAATAAACCATCAATATGTCCACTGTACTCTGTTTAAAAGATTGAAAGGGCATAGTACTTCTAGGCTGAAATAACATTCTTTAATTGTTTTTATTCATTTAAATATTTTTCTTTGTTCACTATATTTCACATTTCATTTTGCTTTGCTAGGTACTTCTTTTTTTCCTAATATACTTGTGGTTTCCTTCCATTTACAAAATACATATATTTTTATTGTGAAACATAACATCCATATTTAAAAAGTATAAAAGAAATATATATTTTGTTTGTTTGTTTGTTTTTTGTTTTTGAGACAGAGTTTTGCTCTTTTCACTCAGGCTGGAGTGCAATGGCATGATCTCGCCTCAGTGCAACCTCTGTCTCCTGGGTTCAAGCGATTCTCCTGCCTCAGCCTCCCAAGTAGCTGAGATTACAGGCACCTGCCACCACGCCCAGCTAATTTATGTATTTTTAGTAGAGACAGGGTTTCACCATGTTGGCCAGGCTGGTCATGAATTCCTGACCTCAGGTGATCCACCTGCCTCAGCCTCTCAAAGTGCTGGGATTGCAGGCGTGAGCCACCGTGCCCAGCCTAAAAGAAATATATAGATGAAAATATATATTTATTTAAAAAACACTCATTTATTTAACTGCCACCCAAGTGAAGAAAAAAATTTTTTAAAAAAATTATTTTTCCTACCAGATATCACTTGTAAAGTTCATAACATGCAACTAAATTGGTGCTTCCAGAACTGACGTTGGAGTGACAGCTCCTTATAGCAGTTGCATCACAGAACTTGCCTCTCTTATTTATGTAGGAATTTGGACTTTTAACTTAATGCAGGTATCACCAAATTTGAAACAGCCAGAAGGACACAAATCTTAATCCCTTAATGAATCTGAAAAGTGTACCACTAGCACTTAATAAGTTTCAATGTTAAACTTTCCTGTCTTCTCTGATGATGTGTCTTACAAGTCAAATTGTAGTAAAAATTCTCTATGGAAAAAAACTCCCCATTTTGAATTTAAAACCTCACAAGGATGCACACAATTTTGATATAAGTAAGATAACACAAATAACACTGAATATTGCCAAGGATGAGTAAACTTAAAAACAAATGACTGTATTGAAGGATTAGTACTCCCCCCAAAAAAGAGAAAAAGATGGTTTTTTTTCTTTTTTCCTGAGGAAATGGATTAAATACTTTCATCTAAAACAGAATTGCTTTTAAGAATTTATTTTACCTTATAACAAGCTTGTCCAACGTGCAGCCGGCGGGCTGCATGTGGCCCAGGATGGCTTTGAATGTAGCCCAACACAAATTTGTAAACTTTCTTAAAACATTATCAGATTGTTTTGAGATTTTTTTTTTAGCTAATTAGTTAGTGTTAGTGTTAGTGTATTTTATGTATGGCCCAACACAATTCTTCATCCAACATGGCCCAGGGAAGCCAAAATATTGGATACCCTGATAATAACATAATTTTATAAGAAATCTCATATTTTAAATAAATTTCATCTGATAATAAAAAAGTTTAGTAGCTTTTTTTAATTTGTAGAGTAATATTATTAATAAAATACTATATGTTTATTCATCTAAGTCACTTCTGCCATAAGGGAGTTAATAGATGATAGATCAAAACGTAGATGATTGGTAGATCGATAGATAGACAAATGGACATACCTACTTCTTGTCTACCTATGTTTCATAATACTTACTATATCACATTTCAGGATATTTTAGTGTTTATTTATTGCCTTTCCTTTCAATTTCATTCTTCCTCATAATAAAGAAGAAATTTCAAATGCAAAGCACATATGCAAGTTTATCACAAAAAAATCCAAAGCTGTGTATATTTGCATTAGATAGTGGAAATAACTTAATGAATTTAAAGTCAGTGCCTCATGGATCAGAAGCTTTGCTTTGGTCTTTGTCAATTATGTAACCATGGTTTAACTATTTAATTACTTTGAGTCTCAATTCATTCATTTATTAAAGGGGTATATTTATACTTACCTATTCAGGGACAATGGCTGGTTAGTGGATGTAGAAAACATATATTTTATGTAAAAAGTTAGGCTTATTGAATATATACAGAAAATGACATTTTCTCTGCTGTTTATTCAATTGTCACTCCAATTGCTCCTTTGGATAAAAAATAAAACGTGATATGATTTCTAATAACTCTTAGGTAATTAAAAGTTATTTGGTTATTACAGTATTAAAAAGTGCATTAGTTCAGTATTTAATATATTTATCCAGTAAATAATTAAAATATCAATCTTCATTCCAAGTAAAATTTCTCTCCTCCTCCTACCTAGCTTGCTCCAAATACATTGCCTACTATAGGGAAAGAGCACATGGGAGCTTTTTCTCTATTTTTCTACCTCACACCTCTCCTAAATGCTGGGCTGATTTTAGTGCCTTTAGTATAGAATTGGAGAACCAATTGTAACTTAAGGGGCAAGAAAGTTTGCATTGCATTAGCAATATTGTGAGACAGCATTAACACTTCTGCCACTCAGCAGTTGGTTAAAGAGGATTGTTTTTCTTGTAAGGTACATTCATAAGCCCTTCTCTGCCCTCACTAGTGGTCTTCCACAAGCTGTCCTTTTAAATCAGGAGAATGGATTTCCTCTGGCAGGTTACCTAGGTTTTCACACTTACAAGCCAGACAACATCCCTACTGGGTGCATAGTTTTGGCAGGAGTATAAGACAACCTTATAGAAAGAATGTAAGACGATGCCGGGCCGGTTCTCTTTCAAACATATGACCCAATTTGGGTACATGAAAACAGTATGTCCTTATTCAAACAAGCTCTGGGAGAACATGCCACCCTAAATACTTTCTCTCAAAGAAGGTATACAGCCACATGTCTACCCTTTAGATTTCTTAGACATGTCATACATCAGCGCCTAAGTCCCTCAGCCTTCAAAAAACACACATCAAACTCAATGATTAGCTGTGTTGAAGCCATTTCCCTAGGCTCGAAATAAGGGAAAAGGTTTCCCACCACACTAAGAGTTTGCTAAGAGGTGCCTATACATGAATTTGGTCACCCTTTCCTCTTATAAAAATTAAAGTCCAAAAGATTAAGAAGTGTGACTTTAGAAGAGAAAGTTTTAGAGTACAGTGAGACTCCATACAATTTTATAATTTTAGTTTGACAAATCTCTTACCTCACTTTTATATGTGAATATGTTAATAGTTACCCTCTCTGTCTTAGGGTCCCAGGTGAAACTGTAACTAAAATAGTGTTTTCCAGAATAGTTTTTTTTATTTTTAAACTGTTCTGAGTTGGGTGCCTAGCACATAATATTTACGAATTAATAGTTGTTTCTCTTTATATAATTACAATACACATCTTTTTATGCTAAAGATATTTCAGGGAATCATTTTCAGGTAAAGAGTTTCCTGGAAAGGGCAGTCGTTTTACTTTGACGTGTCATTGCAAGGGTGAAAATAAGTTTTACTCAATTGAAATAGACATTGTACCATGAAAGAGCACATGGTTGTTTTCATACAAGGTTGAGTTACTTAGTGTCCTAGGAAATAGAAAAATAAATGAAGTTTTATTTCCTAGAAAGATAAAAAAAAATAGACCACACAAACTTTTTCTATCTTGGTTCTATATCACTAGCAGTTTTGTGCTGTTTTTTTAAAATCGTTTCAGTCATTAATATGACAAAAACATGTAAAACAATCTAAGTTGCTGAAGTCATTTACATGTGTTTGTTAAAGCTAGAAATGTTCTCAAGGTTTAAGAATGCCCTAACCCTAAAAATAACAGGTTCTTAAAATCATTATTATTCTAAAATGGAAAAATCTATCAGATAGCTACTAAGGAATACTGAGGAGGGCTACTCTGCTGAATGACTTAGTGAAGAAAGGTCATTTTCCATGGCAGAGATTTTAATTCCATTGGAAATATGGTCTTAAATACAGGATTGGTGACCTTCTTAAGGAAAGAATAGGAAACCAAAGAGAGGAGAAACACAGAATCTGTTCCGACAGATTAAATTTTACAGTAGGAAAATAATCATCTCCAGATACTGAATGTTTTTATATAATTTTAAATCCATACAAAGCAGGAAATTAATAGACACTCGTGTGACTATAAAATCAAATAATATCTCAACCCTGGCAATACAGAAATATCAATGCGTTATTTTATAAAATTCGAAATTGGTATATTTCTAGATAGAAAGATTTACATCAGTACATAATTGATGAACAGATCTGAATAAAATTGAGCTGTAATATGGGCATGCAGTAAGATTTATTTTATGCATCAATTCTACCTGAAGTATGGCAAAACACATTAAAATAATTGAATATTTTTGCAGTTCACCCTATTGAAAGGCCAATGCTGGTATGATATTGGTGGTGAGATATCTTCAATAAGAAGAGAACTAAATAGCACACTCATCATCTTCATTATTCTCTTGAAGAGTGCTATTTTGGTACATAAACTTGCATGTGTCACTGTGGGTTCACATGACATCACCGCAGGTAAATCATGAACATAAAATTGCAATGTAGGTTCACTGTGTACTGGTATCAATCCCAGGGTAGGACTTGAAACCAGGCTAATGTCATAATCCAGTATCAATCCACTTACACGAGTCCACTAAGACAGAACACTCACACAACATGTTAAATGAAGCAAATTTATTACTCACAGATAGGCAGCATGGAACAACATAAGCCTAGGATTCACCATGGACCCATTTACCAAGGCTTAGGAAAGCGGCCCAGGGTGGTGCATAGAGTCTCTTCTGTGCATGCCCCATGCCACACTGCAGCTGAAGAATCCCAAAAGTGCACTCCACCCTGGGTTTTATACCTATGAACTCTTGACACTGTGGGCTAAAGCATTTCGTGACAGATTGTTCTAGAAAAAGATGAAAACAGAACCCAGGCTGTTTTGGTCCGTCCCTCCTTACCACAGAATTTTGCATTACTAGCACATTCTGCAGTTATTCTTGAGAACTGCAAGCGAAAAAGGGAGAAAGAGCTGGGTCACCAAAGCCATCTGGGGACTTGTCCTGAATAATTAGTTTATTAAATATTACTAGTAAAGATGATTTTCATGAATGAATTTTAATTTATCATTATAATTGATTTAATAAAATGTAATATAAATAATACCATTATAAATAATGGTAGAAATAAAACATTTTTTCATTTTCCATCTTTCTTCTATAAGAGTGATTCCTATCAATGGGATAATTACTGTGTCAAGGGATATAAACATTTTTAAAATTCTTGATCTGTGTTACAAAATTGCTTCTCATAAAAGCTGTGCCAACTAAATTGCCCACAAATGCAATTTACAAAGGTAAAAGTTAGTATTTATTTTACTATACCAGAGGAACATTGATGTGTACATGCAATTTAACATGTAACACTTCTGTGAGCATTAAAAAAAAGTTAGCTTTTTAAATTTCTTCTAGAAGTATTGTTTGCTTATTTCTATACTTGGTTATATTATTTTTCTAATTGATTTATCACTTGATTTTAAGAACACCTAAAATTTTTATGGTTTCTTCATGTTAACAATAACCTGTTAGGATTCATTGAGAAAAATAATTTTCTTCATAATAGCAATAACAACAGCAGTAAAACACAGTTAATGTATGTGCTAATAAATCAGCAAAACTTACCAGCCTTACATTTGGAAGATTAGAAAAACCGTGACAACTATTTTTTTAAAATATGTTGACAAAATATAACAGTAAAGAGAAAAGAAAAACAATAGACTCCCTTGATATTTAATGTCTAGATTTAACAATTACATGTATACATATTTCACAATTTTAATTTGCTTGGAAAACCCCTGATGATAAATGAAAAGCTGACAAGTAGAAAAAGATTTGTTAATTTTAATTGTAAAATTATGATGACTACTATCCCACTATGACATATCCCACTATGATATACTACATACCCCTTATGACATCCAAATGCTATCACAAATTGAAAAGTATAACAATTGAGCAATATACTTTACCTAAATAACAATTGGAAAGCAAAACATTGAAGATAAGACATAATTCAGTAAAGGCTCATCTTACTCAGCAAAAGAAGAGAACAGTAGATAATGGGTGATAGTAAGTAGAAGAGGGTTCTTCTGTTTAAAATATGCATTATTTTATTGTACACCATTTTCTACATTAATTTTTTTTGTAGCTAAAAGTGGACTTCTGGATATTTTGCACCTAAACTGAATTTAAGAATAAAGTTTAACACAGAAAAACTCCCTTTAGGGCAAAGTAAAGGCTAAAGAACAAGAATACTTTCTTGTTTATTTTTTAATTTTTTTAATTTTAATTTTTTTTTTTTGAGACGGAGTCTCACTTTGTCACCCAGACTGGAGTGCAGTGGCACAATCTCAGCTCACTGCCAGCTCCGCCTCCCGGGTTCACACCGTTCTCTTGCCTCAGCCTCCCAAGTAGCTGGGACTACAGGCATCTGTCACCACGCCCAGCTAATTTTTTGTATTTTTAGTGGAGACGGGGTTTCACGGTGTTAGCCAGGATAGTCTCGATCTCCTGTCCTTGTGATCCACCCGCCTCAGCCTCCCAAAGTGCTGGGATTACAGGCTTGAGCCACCGTGCCCAGCCGTAATTTTTTTCTTCAACTTTCATTTTAAGTTCAGCGGTACATGTGCAGGTTAGGCAGGTTTGCTGCATAGGTAAACGTGTGCCATAATGGTTTGCTGCTCACATCATTCCATCACCTATGTATAAAGCCCAGTATCCATTAGCTATTATTCTAACTGCTCTCCCTCCCCGATCCCTGCTGACAGGCCCCAGTGTGTATTGTTCCCCGCCATGTGTCTGTGTGTTCTCATCATTCATCCCCCACTTACAAGTAAGAACATCTGGCATTTGTTTTTTTTTTTTTTTTTTTTTTTTTTTTTTGCTTCTGTGCCAGTTTGCTGAGGATAATGGTTTCCAATTTCTCCCATGTTCCTGCAAAGGACATGATCTCACTCCTTTGTATGGCTGCATAGTATTCCATGGTGTATATGTACCACATTCTCTTTATCCAGTCTGTCACTGATGGGCATTTAGGTTGACTCTATGTCTTTGCTATTGTGAATAGTGCTTCAATGAACATATGCATGCATGTATCTTTTTAATAGAATGATTTATATTTCTTTGGGTATATACGTAGTAATGGGATTGCTGGGTCAAATGCTATTTCTGCTTCTAGGTTTTGAGGAATAGCCACAGTGTATTCTGCAATGGTTGAACTAATTTACATTCCCACCAATAATGTAAAAGCGTTCCTTTTTCTCTGCAACCTCACTAGCATCTGTTGTTTGACGTTTTATTAATAGCCATTCTGACTGGCATTAGATAGTATCTCATTGTGGTTTTGATTTGCATTTCTCTAATAATCAGTGATCTTGAGCTTTTTCTTCATATGTTTGTTGGTCACATGTAAGTCTTCTTTTGAGAAGTGTCTGTTCATGTCTTTTGCCCACTTTTTAATACGGTTGTTAGTTTCTTTCCTTGTAAATTTAAGTTCCTTGTAGACTCTGGATATTAGACCTTTGTCAGATGGGTAGATTGCAAAAATCTTTTCCCATTCTGTAGGTTGTCAGTTTACTCTGATGATAGCTTCTTTTTCTGTGCAGAAGCTCTTGAGTTTAATGAGATCCCATTTGTCAATTTTTGCTTTTGTTGCAATTGATTTTGGTGTTTTCTTCACGAAGTCTTTGCCTGTACCTATGTCCTGTGTGGCATTGCCTAAATTTTCTTCTAGAGTTTTTATAGTTTGGTGTTGTACATTTAAGTCTTTAATCCATTTTGAGTTAATTTTTGTGTGTGGTGTAAGGAAGGGGTCCAGTTTCAATTTTCTGCATATGGCTAGCCAGCACTCCCAGCACCATTTATTAAATAGGAAGTCCTTTCCCCATTGCTTGTTGTTTTCAGGTTTGTCGACGATCGGATGGTTGTAGGTATGCTGTCTTATTTTTGAGTTCTCTGTTCTGTTCCATTAGGCTATGTGTCTGTTCTTATATCAGTACCATGCTGTTTTGGTTACTGCAGCCTTGTAGTCTAATTTGAAGTAGGTAACATGATGCCTCCATCTTTGTTCTTTTCGCATAGAATTATCATGGTTATTCAGACTCATGTTTGCTTTCATATGAATTTAAAAAAATTTTTTTTTCTAATTCTGTGAAGAATGTCAATGCTGGTTTAAAGGGAGTAGCATTGAGTCTATAAATTACTTTGGGCAGTATGATCATTTTCATGACGTTGGTTCTTCCTATTTATGAGCGTAGAATGTTTCTCCATTTGTGTCCTCTGTGATTTCTTTAGGCAGTGGTTTGTAGGTCTCCTTGAAGAGTTCCTTCACTTCCCTTATTATCTGTATTTCTAGGTATTTTATTCTCTTTGTAGCGATAATAAATGGGAGTTCATTCATGATTTGGCTCTCTGTTTGGCCGTTGTTAGTGTATAGGAATGCTAGCAATTTTTAGACATTGATTTCATATCCTGAGACTTGGCCAAAGTTGCTTATTAGCTTAAGAAGCTTTGGGGCTGACAGAATGGGGTTTTCTAGATATAGGATCAGGTCATCTGCAAACAAAGATAGTTTGACTTCCTCATTTCCCCTATGTCTTTCTCTTGCCTGATTGCCCTGTCCAGAACTTCCAATACTATCTTAAACAGGAATGGTGAGTGACGGCATCCTTGTCTTGTGCCAGTTTTCTAGGGGAATACTTCCATCTTTTGCCCATTCAGAATGGTATTGGCTGTGGGTTTATCATATATAGCTCTTAGTATTTTTATGTACATTCCTCCAATACCTAGTTTACTCAGAGGACCAGACAAATTCACAGCTGAATTCTACCAGAGGTACTAAGAGCTGGCACCAATTCTGATGAAACTGTTCTAATAAATTGAAAAGGAGGGACTGCTCTCTAACTCATTCTGTGAGGCCAGCATCAGCCTGACACCAAAACCTGGCAGAGATGTAACAACAACAAAAAAGAAAATTTCAGGCCAATATCCTTGATGAACATTGATACAAAAATCCTCAATAAAATACTGGCAAACCGAATCCAGCAGCAAATCAAAGAGCTTATCTGCCACCATCAAGTTGGCTTCATCCCTGGATGCAAAGTTGGTTCAACATACGCAAATAATAAATGTGATTCATCACATAAACAGAACTAAAGACAAAAACCACATGATGATCCCAATAGATCCAGAAAAGGCACTTGATAAAATTCAACATCTCTTCATGTTAAGGATACTTTCTAATGCATGGAAGTGGTATGAATAGAAAATGTATTAGAAATTTATAGAATATGCCATTCATTCATACCTTTCAACTGGCGAATGTAGGCAAAGTGGAACATTCTGAGTTCATGCTAACATAGTGCACAATTTAACATTTGTTTCATGTGATATTCTCTGAGAAGAAACGGCTATGTTAACTAAGTTAGAACCTAGAGTATGTCTTTTACCCTCTATGAAGTATTGAAATAGAACTTATTTTGTCTAGTTAGTTAGTATGTTTATAGATTTAAAAAGTTATTACTTAAAAAGAGACACATTCCTGTTCAAGAGTAGAAGTAAATGCCTTTGACAAAAGCAAGTTTTAAATGCCATCTTATATAATTGCCATATTATTTAATTATCATATAAATAATCCTTATAAATCATTTTAAAGCAAATATTAGATATTATGACACTCATCACTAAGTAGTTTACCACGCATCTTTATAAAAGAGACATTTTGTTAAAAATATGTTTAACATTCACAAAATTTTTAAAAAAATATTTAAATATAACATGCTATATTAAATTTTTCTGTTACCCCTCAAATGCATTTTTATTATTGATTTCAGTGGTAATTATTTTTAAATATTAGAACATTTGTTCAGACAGAAAAGATTAGACTTCAGTGTACTCCAAATGTTAGATGTGATACAGTGAGCATAAGTTATAAGTGGACATATTTGTACTTATTAAAAGGAGTTTTGCAAAATGGAATGATCTGCCTTGTGCAATAATAAGCTTATAGCCATTGCAAGTGTTTAAGCAAAAGTTGATTAGCCACATATCAGAGATAAAGTAGTAAATATTGGTACATTGAGTAAAAAGTTGAACAAAATTATATTCACTCTCACTCTAAGAGTCATTAATCTGGGGAGAAATGTCACTGTTGTACTACTTAAAAGCTTCCCACAATTAAAATATATTTCAAAATATAAGGTAAGTAAACTGTGAGATTTTTGGTTAACAAGTAGGTGCAGTACAAAATAAATATCATGGTATTGTTTCATTTATGCATCACTGAATACTTTCTTTTCCTACCTCACTGAGTCTTATTCTGGTTCTTCAAAACTGCCTTAAAAAAGCACTTAATCACTTCATAATTTTGCCTTACACAAAAGAAATTTCATTGTCATAAAAAACTTCCATCAAGAGTCACTTCATTGCATTTATTCAAAGTACTTATTCAAACTGAGAATTATTTCACCACTGGTGTTCTTGATATAGTGTGCTCACTATATCATCATGCGCTCTTTGAAATTTCTTTTTATCTAAATATTAGTTATTATTTTAAGTAATTTGAGATTTTCATTAACTTTTTTAGCCTTGTTCATGAATGCTTGAATTTTGACGTTTTAATATACATTTATTAAAGATTAGTATTATGAATTAATACAATTTACTGCTAGAAGAAATAAAGAAATATATGAAACAATACTGTCACTTTAGACCAAGATAAAGAAACATGGAAGTATTTATCCTCTGGCCTGAAGTTGCCAAAACAAATGAACAAAATATATAAAACAACATTTTGAAGGACAAACGGTATCAGGTAATGAAGGAGAATAATCTCGAGAGATGGAGGAAATAAAAATCATATAAGCACTATGACACCAGATTCTTGCTTAGAGAGAGATTCCAGACCTCAATGCAGTTAGGAAGAATCCATCCATTTAACATATTTAATACAGTCTGGCAGACTCCTTGACTTGAGGAGACAGTGATAAAGTACATGGAAAACAAGACAGTATTGAAATAACAGTAGCAGAGAAGAAAGAGCTGCATTGAAACAGAACAACAAAGACTGGTATATAGTCACATTCACATATTCATCTGAGTACCAATAAGTGTGTGAAGAAACTACCAAAAACAAGATTCATCTAGAAGTGTTGAGATAACAGTGTCACTCACACAGGGCTTGAGGTAATCCAATTTTGCCCCAGCCAGGCTGGAAAGCATCATGATTCGTCAGGCATGGGTTACAGTAGACAGAGGGGCTTACCTCTGTAATAGGGAACAAGTAGGGTTCCCTAGAACTAGAACTGAGAACTCTTTCTAGTTCTCCCTAGAAAGAGAACTGAGCTAGTGCTACCTAAAATGTCTGAACATCCAGAAAAGACTACTAAACTCACACATAAAGCAATACAAATGTTTCAATATTTGTATTGAATACAAAGAATATCTATTCGACTACTTGAAATCCATGAAGCAGAAGAAAGAGAGGGGGAAGAAAAAAAATGTTGAAGAAATCATAAATATTATTTTGTTTTCCAAATCAGGTAAAAATATAAACCCAAACATGACAGAAACTCAATAAACTTAAAGCACAGTACTCAAGAAGAAAATTGCAACAAGACATATTAGAATCAAATTGTTCAAAACCAGTGATAAGGATGAAACTTTCAAAGCACCAACAGGAAAAAAAAAAAAAGTTATCTGCAAAGGAAGAAAGATAAAAATGATGGCTGATTCCTCATTGGAAAAAAAATTAAAACAAAAAGATAGTGAATGAAAACAATAAGTTCTGAAAAAAAAAGAAGTCAATTTAGAACATTATTTTAGGGTATGGCTGTGAGAGGCTGTTTCTGGAATAGACTGTCACTTAAATAATTAAATAAGTCTTACTCAGTGGACTGCATAAGAAAAATTCATTCTCACTCAACCTAGGCGGGCACTGTCCAAATGATTAAGGGCCCAAATAGAACAAAGAGGCAGAGGGAAGGCGAATTCACACTCTGTCTCTCACTTCTGGACCTGGGACACCCATATTCCTGTGCCCTTGATCATCAGAATTCCAGGCTCTCTGACCTTTGAACTAGGACTTGCACCAGTAGTTCCCCTTGTTCTCAGCTCTTCAGCCTTGGAATGAGAGTCACACCATCAGCTCCCCCAGTTCTCAGGCCTGCAGAGTTGGACTGAGCTATGCCACCAGCTTCCCTGGTTTTCCAGCTTGCAGGCAGCATATGGCAGGACTTCTCAGCCTTCACAGTTTTGTGAGCTAATTCTAATAAGTCCCCTCTCAGATATCTTTCTTTATATAGTATTGTTTCTGTTTCCATGGAAAACTCTCTCTAACCATGCTAACAATTTTAGAAGCACCACATGATCATATAAGCAGACACAAAAAAACAATGATGGCAGAATCTAACATCCAGTCCTCACAAAACCTCTCAGCACGCTAAGATAGAAGGCAGTTCTTTAATCTATAAAAACCTACAGCTAACATTATATTTTATTGTGAAAAACTGAATGCTTTCCCTCTAAGTTCAGGAACATGGCTAAGATGTTTAAATTCCTCTGTTTTATTTAATATTATACTAGATGTTCTAGACAGAGCAATAAGGGAAGATAAAGAAATAAAATCCCTTTCAGATAAAACAGGAAGTAAAACTGCTCTTATTTATAGATGGTATAATTAAAGGGAATAATCCACTGAAATTTTAAATAAGCAACTAAAGGCAGTGCATTTAACAAATAAGACTAATATGCAAAATTAGTTTATTTCTTCATATTGGCAATAAACAATTAGAAAATATTTTTAAGCACCATTTACAATAGCATCAAAATGGAAAATAAATTTTTTTTAAAAAATGAAAAATCTGTGCACCATAAACTATAAAACACTGCTGAGAGAAAGTAAAGGAGACTTAAATAAATGAAGAGAAATACATAATCATGTGTCAAAGAGCTAAATACTTACGATATGAATCTTTCAAATTTGACATTAGATTCAATGCAATATTATTTAAAATCACAGTAGGAATACTTTCTAAGGAATTAACAAAATTATTATAAAATTCATAAGAAAAGTTAAAGAACTGAGAATAGCTAAAACAACTTTGAAATAGAACAAATTTGTAGTACTATCTTAAATTCAAAATTGATTGTAAAACTTAAATATTCAATATCATATCAGCATAAAGATAAGCAAATAAAACAATATAACAGCAAGAGTACAGAAATAAAACAGGTATGGAAAATTGATTTTCACAATAGGAACAAAGACAATTACATGGAGAAATGTCAGTCTTCAATAAACATGCTGGATACCCCTGTGCAATATTAAATTTGGATTCATACCTCACAACATACACACAAACTAACTCTAAATGTCATAGGTCTAAATATAAAACTAAAAATTTGAAACTTACAGAAGAAAACACAGAAGAACATTTGATATAAACAGGTTTTATTAATATTATGATGCCACAAGCATTATTCATATAATAACAACATATAAGATTGGGCTTTATCAAATTAAAATCTTCTGTTCCTTGAAACACACTGTGAAGGTTATAAAAAGATAATCCATATGTTGGGAGAAAATATTAGTAAAGCACGTATCTGTTGAAGAACTATCCAAGATATATAAAGTATACTTCAAAGTTAATAATAGGAAAACAATAAGAATTTGTTTAAAAAATCAAAACAGTAATTTCTCCCAAGAAGATCAGCACATGGAAAAAAAGCTCAACATCATTAGTTATTAGGAAAATGTAAAACTAATTTATATTAATACTACTACAGACATAGCAATATGTCTAAAATTGAATAATTTTTAAAAATTTACTACACCTATTATCAGGCAGGATGTTGGAAAATGGAATTCTTGTACCCAGTTGGTAGAAATGTAACATAGTGTAACCACTTCGGAAAATTGTTTACTAGTGTCTTAGAAGTTAAATGTTCACCTATGATATGATCCAGTCCATTCCTCGCTTTCACCCAGTGGAAATAAGATCATATTTCCATACAAAGATTGTAGTATGAATGCTTATAGTAGCTTTATTTGTAAAGAAAAGTAATCTGGAAAATAATTCAGATTTCCTTTATCAAGTTAATGACTAATCTGAATGTAGTGATTCCATAGAATGTATTGCTACTCATAAAAAAAAGCAAAAGCAATGAACTATGAATATGTGCACAAGATGGAAGCATCTCAAAATAATTTTGCTCACAGAGACGCTAGACAAGAGACTAAATACTTTTATTTCATTTATATAAAATTCAAGAAAATTAAAACTGATTTTTCAGTTTAGTTGGAAGCTGCTTCTCATGACTCAGCCTAGGGTTAGATTTTGCTTCCTTTTCAATCACTCCCATGCAAGGATAGAAATAGTTTTCACTATGCTTGGCATTGCCAATGTTTCCATGACTTTCAAGACTTATCTGACCACAAAAATAATCGGCCAGCTGTAATCCAAATAAACAACAATATAAAAAAAGCTGAGGATTTAAGGAGACTTAGTAACTGCAAAATAGGAGGCTAAGCTAAGCTACTAAATTAGGCAGCTTTCTAAAAGAGAAAAAAGTCTATTTAGATTTATTTTAAATATTGATAGACATAACAAATAAGCATATATGCTAACTTTTTTATAAATTACAAATTTTAAAGAGATAATTGTATAGTTTATTGAATCACAAAAAATTAGTTACAAATCTATATTAATTAAATTAATTATATTATAGTTATTAAAGTTATACTGTACATTATTCAATCTGTCAGGAAATATAAATATAAACTCATGACTATTAAAAAACATTTTTTCTAGCTCAAAACTTTGACAAGTGTTCTTTAGTTCGTAGATTTTTGGTTTTCAGATACTATTTTTCAAGGAGCAGAACCAGAGTCTGCTGAAAAAAATAAGTCTTATTTTATATATAGGGCAAGGAAAGCATAACCTGAGACTTTTTGTTGCCTGAGAGAAAGAATGCTTATAAATTTAGAGGAATGTAGAATCTTACGTTTCCACCAACTAGACTATATTTGAGCATCAACAAGAAATTAATAGTTACTCAATACAAATGAAATCTGTAAAAAGTTGTGATAATGATAATCAAAAAGAGAAAAATTTTTAATCACATGTCAAAAGCATGTAAACATAATGGAGCATGTTTCTTTTGAATTTTGTGATATATCCCGTTATAATTACATCAAATTTTTGTGCTTAGTACTCACGTTTTTTGTTTTAAAAACATAAAAATATATTAGGCACACAATTTTTATTTAACATAAGTTTGGAGTTTGAAGTCAGAATTAACTTAAATTTAGCAAAACGTTTTTATTTATTTATTTATTTATTTTGACAGTGGTCTCACCATTTTGTCCAGGTTAGTCTAAAACTCCTGCCTCAAGACATCCTCCCATCTCAGCTTCCCAACTAGCTGGAGTTACCTGTTCAAGCCTGACTTAAATTTAGCACCTTTAGTTGGAAAAATGCAGTGTATCATTAACATGACACTGCTGATTTCACCCCAAGATGAAAATAATATATAAGGGAAGTTCAGCATGCATTTGTATGTCACTTAAGTATTTTTAAGATAAGAGCCCTGGCCAGAAAGGGAAATGAGAAAATAACCAAAATTCAATTAGGAAGTATTTTGTTTTAAATGAATTAAAAAAAACAATAACTCAAGACAAAAAAATTGGAGAGGGGTAATAGAAAACAGGTAAAATAATAACAGAATATTGATTACTATTGAAATTGGATGATTTATACATTTAAAAAATATTCAGATTTTGGATTTTAAAATATGTGCTGCTAATTAAGAGTTAAATGAAGAAAAAAGTTATGATTAGGGAGTGAGTGAGGTTTGAAATAAATCTGTTGGGAAAAACAGGTGATGCAAATTGAACTCAGAAAGTAGCTTTTGAAACCAGTTCTGTTTGAAGATCTTTGTTTGAAATACCCATGTTAATCTAGGAAGTTAGAAAAAATGTGTAAATATGTATCTTGCAGGACAAAACATACTTCTTAGCTGTCTCACTAGTAGGCTGACCGACAAACCCTTGTTTATATAGGACAATCTCTACTCCCTTCAAATGATTGACTTCTTTTTTAAAATGTACTTTTAATTCCAGGGAGCTTTATTAAATAGTAAGATTATAAAATAAATCAAGCCCATGGTGTTAGCCATTTCATATTAAATTTGAGAATAATCTGTTTAAATTTGTCATACAGCATATTAGTAACTTATTATACTAGAAGATCCTAGATATTGTTTCACATCTTAATGTAAAATGTGAAATTAAGTAATTTTTGCTTTAAGATTTGAATGTAGAAAAGCTAGGATAATTTGATTTTGTCTAAAAAGTAGTAAACTATTTTTGGAAACTTTAAATTGACTCACTTTATAAATTTATCTTATTATATTTAAGAGATCCTCAAGTATTACAAAGGCTTTGTTTCACATTGTCAAAAACAAAACTGAGGCCGGGTGCAGTGGCTCAAGCCTGTAACCCCAGCACTTTGGAAGCCAGAGGCAGGAGGAACACGTTAGGTCAGGAATCCAGACTGGGCAACATTGTGAGACCCCATTTCTTAAAAAAAACAAGTAAAATAAAAATTGTTTTAATTAACTGGGCATGGTGGCACACACCTGTAGTTCCAGCTGCTCAGGAAGCTAAGGCAAGAGGATTGCTTGAGCCCAGAATTTTGAGGCTACAGTGAGCCATGATTGTGCCACTGTACCTGGATGACAGAGCAAGACCCTGTCTCTAAAACAATATAAAAAAATTAAATGGAACTATTTAAAAGAAAATTTGATATAATACATTTTAAATGATTTTTAAATATTTGAAGAATTTAAGTTATAAATTGAAAATGGTTCAGGGAATTTTACCTATTATTTTGAGCAAGCAGACAAAAAAATTTAAGTAGTTTTCTTATGTTATTCCATTTACAAATATAACAATATTTATAAGCTGAATTTAAATGCTTAAAAAATGCTAAGTTCTAGATTTGTTTTTAATAAACCTTTATTAATTAAAATTAATCGCTTTAATAATTCATGTTTTATAACTATGTACCAAAAGTTAATCTAAAATTTTAATAAAATCTCACAACAAAATAGACCACTGATATGTGAAAAACAATAAATATCCAAAGGAAAAAATAATATATTTGAAATGAATAAGGAACAAATTGGTATAGGACCAAACTCAATTTTTAGATTAAGAAATGTGACTTTCATTAAATCCAAAAAAAAAATGGCTCAAGTAGAAGCAGATGCTGGCAGATAAAATTAGGGCAGGCAAAGTTGGGAAATTAAGGAGGTGGGTAAATGGAATTTATTAGAGGGAAACTCAATAGTCTAAGTGATGTATTGGATAAGAGGTTGAAAAAAAAAAAAAAGGTAAAATTTTGACTCCTAAGTCTGTGGTCCCTGTGAAGCTATTCGAGAACAGTGCCTTTCACTGGGATAAGATATGTCTTGCTAGTAAATAAATCCACATAAAATTTATAAATATTGAGAAGAGGGAGGTCCCAAAGTCTCAATGAACCCCAACATTAATGGCTGAGTAAATAAAGATATTATAGCAAAGGAAATACAGAGTAACAGGAAGAAAACTAGCAATTTTGTCAGGAAATCCAATGTAAGAACGATTTTCAGTATTCCTGAAAAGTCGATCAAGGTGATATTTATAAAATACACACTAAATGTAAAGACACAGAAGTCACTGGTAACCTTCATGAGACTAGAGGCATAAGTTATGCTGGAATCAGAGTAGAGTCTGACAAAAAAGTTGATGAAGAAAAAATAAAGTCAGCTATGAAAGAAAGTTGATGACTAGGTCAGGAAACAGGAAAATGTTTTGTGATCAATATTGTGTGTTTAGTATGTTTCTTTAAAGTAATAGAAACTCTGACTGGGAGAAGTGGAGGTATTGAATGAACAAGAGCAAGTAGTTGAAATTTAAAATTTTTTCAATTTATTTATTTATTACAGAGTAAAATGAAAGCAAGTTTATTAGAGAAGTAAAGAAATAAAAAAGAGTAACTACTACTACATAGGCAAAACAGCCAAAATGTACATTCTTTTTTTTTTTTTTTTTTTTTTTTTAGACAGAGTTTCACTATTATCCCCCAGGCTGGAGTGCAGTGGCACGATCTCGGCTCACTGCAACCTCTGCTTCCATGGTTAAAATCATTCTTCTGCCTCAGCCTCCCAAGTAGCTGGGATTACAGGCGCTCACCACCATGCCCAGCTAATTTTTCTATTTTTAGTAGAGAAGACTTTTCACCATGTTGGGAAGGCTGGTCTCGAACTCCTGACCTCAGTTCATCCGCCCGCCTCAGCCTCCAAAGTGCTGGAATTGCAGGCATGAACCACTGGCCCAAAATTTACATTCTTAAAGTGGCAATAAGAACTGTAACTCAAAGTATAGTTTGGAGAATCCCCTAAAATAGTTGCATAGTCACCTTTTGCATTGTACCAGAAGAGAAGTTGTAGACATAGGTAGACACAGAAGTTTGGTAAAAGTCTCATCTTAAACCCTCTACTGGAGAGGACTCCGTGGGATAAGGTCAAATATTTATAAAAGTGGAAAGGTATTAAACTGCTTGTTTTTGCAAATTGAGGTATTGAATTTGAACACAGAATTATAGTTGTAAGAATAAAAATATTTGAACATAGTATTATGGCAGTAGGAATAAAATGTCAAACTCTGTTGAGGTCATATTTAAGGTTATTGATCCTAAATTTATCACATTTGCAACATCCTTTTTATGACTATATCTAACAAAGCACCCAAAAAAATTATTCATTAGTATTTTTGCCATTCAATGACAATGAAAATTCAAGGGAATTCAGATTGTTAAAGGATGAGTGTGCTATGAATTTTATGCTAAATAAGAAAAGAATGAAGAAAGGACTGACAGAACGGAGAAGGATCTGTGAACCAGATGTCCTGATGAGAAAGAAATTTTTTTATGATTTTTCTTATGTTTGAACTGGTGATTTTAGAGATTAGAATGACAGCAGGGGATCAAAAGTTCCCGTATGCTGAGAAGGCATTAAAAAAAATAGGTCACTGTAAATCAGGAGGTTAAGAAACTGCAAGACAAAGTTATCAGAATGAAATTTACCCACATAGTGTATGGATAAGCTATTCAAAGAGTTGACTCATGTTATTTTGTGAAAGAGAAGCAGTTACTAAGAATTCAATAGTGCCAGTTATTAGGAGTAAGCAAAAGATTGGTGGGAGGATAGTATTTAAACAGTAATAGGGATAATAGAGCTTTGTATAGCTTTTATGGTGGTGGTTTTATCAGTTTTCCTGGAAGGTGATAGAGAATTGTGCTAGAAGTGGAAATGAAGAGCATCAGTTGGAAGGCTAAAGAGAAAGTGACATCCTTGGGGAAGAAATAGGTTTCAGCCATGAAAGAAGCAGCAGGAAATTATTTCACAAGGAGTAATAAACTCACTGAGTATGCAGTGTAGTTTCTGCAGGCAGAAAAGAAGAATTTGGGAGATAGTTAATTAGCAGAGGTCATACTGACATACAGCATAGTAGAGAATATTTAACATAAAAATTAAGTTTTGGGCATTGGTTTACAAAAACAAGAATAAAAGGTCTAGAGATGTGGTTTAAAGAGTTTCTTTGAAGAATATTTTAGTTTTCTATTGTTGGATTAAAAATACCGCTAATTTAGTGGCTTAAAAGAATACCCATTAGCTTACAGTTTGGTAGGTAAAAAGTCTAGGCAAGCTTGACTGTGTTCTCTGCTTAGAAGCTTTGATGATCAAAGTTGGAGTGTCATCCAAGCTATGTTCTTATCTGGAGTATCCGAAGAAAACTCTGCTTCCAAATTCATTGAAATTGTTGGTGGAATCTAGTTCCTTGAGATGGTATAATTGAGGACCTCAATTCCTTAACAATGCTTAATAAGGGGCTGACTTCAGCTTCTAGAGGATATATTCCAGTTTCCTTTCATGGAGCCAAGTCCATCCTCAAAGCCAACAATAACACATTAAATCACCTGTGTGCATTGAATCTGTTTGACATTCCCTTCTACCACCATGTGGATATCGTTCTATGCTTTTAAGAGCTTGTGTAATTATCCCAAAACTACCAGATATGCTCCTTGCCTTAAGATCAACTATGTTGTATAAAATAACACAATCACCAAAGTGATATAGCACAATATTCTGTTTCTGGGGATCAAAATGGGATATTTTGGTGGCCATTTTACCAATTCTGCCTAACAAAAGGTCTTTGAGGAAAAAGGGGAATTAGACTTGGTATCACTACGTGTACACCAGAAGGGTTAACCTAGAGTAAACATTATAATCATTTGTGGGACTTTAAATATAACCCAGGCTGGAGCCCTACCCAAGAACAAATAAGTTATAATTTCTGAGGGTGAGGCCTAGGAATCAGCACAAAACTTCCCAGTCATGTTCGTCTCAGACATTACAAGTTAACTAACTTAATACGCCTTATATGGTAGCAACATCAGACATAGTATAAACTAACTAACAGTAAATAGTCTCGATCTCCTTTTATTCTAATTAATTCGTTCCCAGAGTTGTTTTCTAATTTCAAAGATTCTGAGAGTTCTAAATTGAATATTTGGGTGCACATTATGTCCCACAGATAAGCACTGCACATTTTCACATAGAAATCAATCTGTAGTTGGACAAACAGGTCTTGCCAAATTTGGGGAATCATTTAGAATCCTTCAAAACCTGCTGAAGCATTAAACCACTTTCAAAGGTGGATAATGCAATAGAAAAAGTGCAGCTCTTCTGAGAAGTTCTGCTAAAGATACCTGTAAGCATACAGGCATTAGAAATGTGATTTTATGTTTTGAAAAGGCATATATAAGCCCAAAGGCTTTATAGTTTAAATTTTCTAGAATTATGCTTATGTCAAGTCAGAGTTAATTATTGTAATAGCTCTGAATAGTTTCAAATTATACCCTAAATTTGAATTAAGTCCATCTGATCATTCATAAATAATGAATTTATCTGAAAATGACAAAATTCCAAAGAAATATCTATAACTACCAATAAAAATGGCCATTAATTTATCAAAAAGGTACAAATATTTACTACATTAAGAATGTTTGATTCTTGATTATATTTGAATTTGGAGGCATGACTCCCAAAACAAATATATAGTTAATCAATTTAAATTTAAACTATTCTAATCTTATGAAAAATTAAAAGCCAATGTTGTCCTCAAGGATGTCACAATTCAATGTGGGAGGCAGAAATACATATAAACAAAAATAATAAGAGCACTTACTGAGCAGTCCTTGTCTAAGAGTTCATAAACATTAACACATTTAATTCTCATACCCATCATTACATTGGTATTTTTTCAAAGCTGATTTTACAGATGAGGAAAATAAGGTCCAGAGAGCTCCAAGAACTTGGGCAAGATGCCAAGATCACATAACTATTTAGTAATTGTGGGGCTAGGATTTGAAACTCAGGGGGTTAAGCTGCAGAACAAATACATAACTTTGGGCACTTTCCCTACAGACCCATAAAGTGGTAAAACCAACTCTAGCAAAAATAGAATGTGAAACAACAGGATTGCAACTAACATTCAAAAGATAATTATTTATTTAGACTTGGAAAGTGACATTTGAAATGAAGTTAGAATTTCACCAGGTATAAAATTGGAGGAGACAGAGTATTCCAGACATTGACAACACTGAATGGTCTTAATTACCAGCTTGAGAAACTGTATTGTGATTTATTTTTAAAAATCTCAAAGGGGTACTCTTTATCTGCTCCCTTCATTCTCTCTCTTTTTAAATACTTCTCAAATGTTTTAATCTGACTTTAACCGGTCCATAGAAATATTTTATCTCTATCATTTTATCTAGTGCATTTAAATTATAGTAATAAAGTATATAAATATTTTTGTCAAATTATTTTATGTAATTTTTACATAAAATTATGTAAATTTTATGTAATTTTACATAAAATTGCATATATTTGCATATTTATTATATGCATACAAGGAAAACATTCATAAGCTTTTTTTAAAATTTCATAATTTAGTGTTACAAATGGGTATCTCATTTTCTTTGCTTTTCTTCTAACAGAATGGTAGTCTCTCAACTAAATAAGGACATCCAAAATAAACTGTAACTAATATCTGTTGGGAAATACTGAACACTTTCCCATGAAGACTAAATAAAATAAGATTCTGCCCACTTTTACCACTTCTATTCAAAATTTTACTGAAATACAGAGCCAGTGTAATAAGGCGAAACAAAAATAAATAAATAAAAGTTAAAAAGCAAGAAGAAAAGCTGTTTTTATTCACAACAGTTATAATTATCTACATAGATTATCTTGGGGAATCTCACGATGCAAAACAAGTATAACTAACAAGTAAATTTATCAAGTCTTAAGATAAAAGGTCAATATATAAAAATCCATTGTATTCATTTTGTTTCTTTTTGATAACTATATTTTGATAGAATTAAAAATAAAAAATCCACAATATTATTAAACAATGTAAAATATCTAATAAAACAGGTTTTTGGTTTTTGCCTCCAAAAGATATGTCCATACCCTAATCTCCAGACCCTGTGAATGCTTTCTTACAAAAAGAAAGCATTTACAGCTGTAAATAAATTAAGGATCTCAAGTTGGGAATATACTGGATTATTTAAATTTTCCCTAAACCTAATGACAAATTTCCTTATAAACACAGATAAGAAGGCCATGTAAAAATGGAGGCAGAGTTTGGAATGCTATTACCATGAACCAAAGAATGTTGAAAGCTTACTGAAACTGGAAGAACAAGGAAGGTATCTCCCCTAGAGCTTCCAGAATGAGTCTAGGCCTGCTCACATCTTGATTTTGGGCTCTGGCCTCTAGAGAGAAGA
The DNA here is from genome assembly GCF_000001405.40 of Homo sapiens. Classification (NCBI taxonomy): domain Eukaryota; kingdom Metazoa; phylum Chordata; class Mammalia; order Primates; family Hominidae; genus Homo; species Homo sapiens. Next base: position 82,816,202 of record NC_000003.12, on the reverse strand, counting down.
AAGAAAAGAATTTCTGTTACTTTAACCCACCAAGTATGTGACAATTTGTTTTGGCAGCTCTGGAAAACTAATATACTTAATAATACATTTAATTTAAAAGATGTTAGATATATTAATATACTGAAACTATAAAATATTGTTGAAAGTGAAGAACAACTAAACAATTAAGAAATAGCATATCAAAGTAATATTGTTATCATTATGATGGCAGTGGCTGCTCCAAATGGCCTGCTGCTGCCATCATGCCATCTGCAGCAGGGAGGCATGGCCAGGGCTGCACACTCCATAGAGCTCAGGAGCAGCGGGGAGCCCTGCCCCACCCCAGGAACAGCTGCAGTCACCTAAATGGTACTTCAGACCCAGGCTTCCCACTCCACAGAGCTGGCAGGAGCTCAGCTTCCCCCCAGCCAACCCCAAAAGCAGCTGGAGCCACTCAAACTGTGGCATCCCTACACTTTGAGGGGCCAGGAAGCCCTCTGCCCTTGTAGGCTCAGAAGTGCCTGCTCCTGCTATCTAGCTTCTCACTGCTGTCAGCACCCATGCAACCTTGGAACAAAGTTGGGGCCAAGCCTTGATGCCATCAATGGCAGCAGGAGGCAGACAGGTTCCTGAGCAGAAGGGGGTGGGTGCCTGGTGAGGCCCAACTTTCAGGCCAGGTATGCCGGAAGGCTGGGGGCTGGGCTTCCAGTCCCACTCCCACAGACCAGAGTGGGAACTTGTGGTGCCTTTTCCAGGCCTGTCCATGGCTGCTCATGGACCAATCAGCATGCATTTTCTCCCCTCTGAAGCCCATAAAAGTCTTAGACTCAGCCAGAGCTGAGCAGATGTCTGGGACAACCAGCTTCAAAGAGGAGCTACCCACTCCAGGGCCTCCTCTGAGCTATTGTTGCTCAATAAAGTTCCTTTTTGTCTTGCTCACCCTCCACTTGTCTGTGTACTTCATTCTTCCTGGGTGCAGGACAAGAACTCGGGACCTGCTGAATGAGACTAAAAGAGCTGTAACATGAACAGATCTGAGACATGCCCCTTGCTCACCACGTTGTGGGTGAAGAGAAGAAAATAAGAGCAACAGCCCCTTTGGGAAGCCCAGGCTTGGGAAGTCTGCGAGCCGGGGCTGTGACTTCCTATTTGGGGCCCTGTGGTTCCTGGCATCTCCTAGCTTCCAGGAACCATCATGTTCTCTGGTGCCAGCTGTGGATGCTACTTGCAGTGTGCATGGTCTGGCCACTGCCGCACAGAAAGCCAGCACCCATGCTGGAACCTGGAGCTGCCTGACCTGCTGCAGCAGCCAGTATGTCTGATTGCACAGTGGCCAGCCTTCACCCTCGCTCACATACCCCTCACCACTCCATGCAGTCTCCCTTGCCAACTATGGGATCCAGGCCAGTAGCATAAGCCAAGAACATCCTGCCAGGCTGATTGGCCCCAGCAGGCCTGAGCAAAACTCTGGCAAAGGCACCACTGGTCACAGAGGTTTCCAGCCAGAAAAGACACCCCAAAGATCCCATAACAATTGTACCCTAATTGATCTATAAATTCAATAAAACTCAAATAAAAATCTTTGAAGCCTTTTTTTACTCTAATTGTACATGTTTCTTTTGTATTTATATAAAAATCCTTATAGTATTCTCAGTTGACTGTTCCCCTCACCCCTGGCACTTTAAATACAGTCAGGCACTGCATAACGACAATTTGGTCAATGAAAAACCACATATACGACAGTGGTTCCTTTCCATTTTAATGGAGCAAAAAGTTTCCTATCATCTAGTGAAATTGTAGCCGTTGTAACATCATAGCACAATGCATTGCTCATGTGTTTGTGGTGATGCTGTTGTAAACAAACCTGCTACATTGCCAGTTGTATGAAAGTATTAAACATTTACGTGCATTACAGATAAATTAATAATGATAATAAATGCCTATGATACTGGTTTATGTATGTACTGAACTATACTTTTATTATTATTTTAGAGTATATTCCTTCTACTTATTTTTTTTAAAAAAGGTTAACTTTGAAACAGCCTCAGGCAAGTCCTTCAGGAGGTATCCCAGAAGAAGGCATTGTTATTATAGGAAATGACAGCTCCGTGCGTGTTATTTCTCCTGAAGACCTTCCCTTGGGACAAGATTTGAAGGTGGAAGACAGTGATATTGATGATCCTAACCCTCTGTAGGCCTAGGCTAATGTGTGTGTTTGTGTCTTACTTTTTAGCCAAAAAGCTTAAAAGTAAAGTGAAATTAAATATTTTTGTACAGTTGTATAATGTGTTTGTGTTTTAACTGTTACTACAGGATTGAAACATTTTAAAATTAATGTTTACAAAGTAAAAATTTAAACTAAGATTTATGATTAAAAAAGGAATTTTTAATAAATCGAGTTTAGCCTTAGTGTAGTGTTTATAAAGTCTAGAGTAGTGTACAATGATATCCTAGGCCTTCATATTTACTCACTACTCACTCCCTGACTCACCTAGAGCAACTTCCAGTCCTGCAAGCTCCATTCATGGAAAGTACCCTATACATGCTTACCATCTTTTTATTATTACATTGCATTTTTACTGCACCTTTTCTATGTTTAGATACACAAATGCCAGTGTGTTACAATTGTTACATTATTCAGTGCAGCAACATGCTGTATAGGTTTGTAGCCTAGGAGAAAGAAACTATTCAATAGAGACTAGATGTGTTAGGCTATACCATCTAGGTTTGCATAAGTATACTCTATGATGTTCACACGCTGGTGAAAATCACCTAATGACATAATTCTCAGAATGTGTCTCATTTCCATGTGACATACGGTTGTGTTTTATCCAACTGCCTATGGCCTTCAAAGTTTCAGCTGAGACTAAAAACCTTCTGCATAGCAACTGACTATCAACAGAGTATACAGCAACCTACAGAATGTGAGAAAATATTTGCAAACTATGCCTTCAACAAAGCTATAAAATCCAGAATGTATAAGGAACTTAAACAAATCAACAAGGGTAAAACAAACAATCCTAGTAAAAAGTGGGTAAAAGACATGAACAGACACTTCTCAAAAGAAACATATGATTAGGCAATGAATGTATGAAAAAAATTTCAGCATCACTAATCATCAGAGAAATGCAAATCAAAAACACCATGAAATACCATCTCACACATCAGAATGGTTTCTATCAAAAAGTCAAAAAATAACAGATGTTGGCAATGTTGCAGAGAAAAGGATATGTGTATACACCGTGGTGAGATTGTATATTAGTTTAGCCCCCTAAAAAACAAAATAGAAGTTGCCTGCTATTCTTATTGAGAATCCCTTGGATGTGGTGAGTTGCACTTCTCTTGCTTTTTCTAGATTCTCCTCTCATCTTTGTCTTTCAAAAGTTTATAATTTGTCTTTGGACTTATGCTGTGTAGCTTGTTGAGTTTCTTACATATGCATATTTATGTCTTTCTTTAAATTAGAAAAATTTTCAGCTATCATTTCTTTGAAGTCTCTCCACCTCTCTCTTCTCTTTCTAAGACTTCTATAATTTGTACATTGGTCTGCTTGATGGTATGATATATGTCCCTTAGGCTCTGTTAAGTTTTCTTTGTTCTTTTTTGCTCTATGCTCCTCACAATCAATAATTTCAAATGTATTATCTTCAGTTCATGGATTTTTTTTGCATGTTCGAATCTGATGTTGAGATGCTCTAGTAAATTTTCAATTCAGTTATTGTAATTTTTAGCTTCAGATTTTTGTTTGGTTCTTTTTAATAATTTTACATCTCCTTGTTGAAATTCACATTTTTTCATCTACCATTTTCCTAATTTAATTAGTTCTTTGTGCAAGTTTTCCTTTAGCTATTTGAGCATATTTAAGACAATTTTGTTTTTGTTAAAGTCTTGGTCTAGCAAATCTAGTATCCATCTATCCTCAGGAATGCAATCTGGAATTATTTTTTTCTTTGAAGGGTCTATGTTTCCTTGTTTCTTTTGTGCCTTGTAATTTTTTTGTTTTGAAAAATTGGTCATTAAAATAAATCGGCAACCTCTTCCAGTTTTAGCAAACATGTTGAGACAGACTTCTGCTTGTTAGTTGGGTATGCTTTACTCTTTGTGATCAGCCTAAGGTAAAAACTTTACATAGTTTTATAACTTTTCTGAGTGTTCATCTTTTCTCTGGGCATGAGTGTGGCTTTTTTGATTATCCTGTATACACAGATGCTTTTGAATTCCCTAATTTCCTGAAGAGATTTTTCATAGATTTTGAGGGGCCTTACATGGTCTCTTGTGTCTTCTCCTCTAATTTCTTGCCCTAGTCTGTGATTCTTTGTCTCCCTGCAGTTTTCCCAAGCAGCATTTGGTTTCAAGTGCTGCCTGAGGTCCAAGTTAGAACACTATATTCTACTCTCTCACCTGAGCTCCAACCTGAGTTGGTTGGAAGAGAGACCAGTCCTTCTGGCTGCCTCCAGACAGATTGGTACATTGCAAATAAGGAATTTTCTCCTTTCCATTAAAATGAGAGTATTAAGGACTAGGATACTGCCTCTTTCAGAGGAAGATTTTACCAGGCTGAGGAGATAGCAGGGCAAGGAAGACTAAAAATGCCATTAAATTTCTGACTGTTTTGAATGTGACTGTCTTCTGATGGATGTTTTCTTGCTCTCTGCAGGCGTTTAACTGTTTTTAAGAGTTCTCATAAAGTTTCTTTAGCCAGCCTCAAGTTTAGTTTTTGGGAGTTGTTGTGGTTTTATTTTTTAAAACGTTTCTATGACAGAATGAGAGCCAGGGGCTTTCTAGTTTACAAATTTTGCAGACATCTCTCTGGAAATTTGATTTCTGATACCACATGTTTAACTAAGGACATGTTGGCATAATTTGTTTTTCAGCAAATGTTTAAAACATTTTCAATTAATTTATAGCAAGTACCATATCTTTTTTTTTTTTTTTTTTTTTTTTTTGAAACAAAGTCTTGGTTTGTCACCCAGGCTGGAGTGATCACAGCTCACTATAACCTGGAACTCCTAGGCTCAAGTGATCCTCCCTCTTCAGACTCCTGAGTAGCTAGGATTACAGGCATATGACACCACACTTGGTTAATTTTATTTTATTTTTTATACTGATGAGGTCTCACTATGTTGCCCTGGCTGCTCTCAAACTTATAGCTTCAAGCAATCCTCCTATCTCAGCCTCCCAAAGCATTGAGATTACAGGTGTGAGCCCCAATGCCTGATCAATTTACAGTTTCTTTAAAGTCCCAGTTTTCTAATGAAAATAAAAAAGGAGGTACAAATAGTTAAAGCAATTTTTAAAATGTTAAGTTTCTCTTTTACTTAGTAACATTGTGATCCTGAAATTAATTAAGCTGGTAGATAGACAGATAGACAAATCCACACATATTATCTATCCCTATCTATTTATCCTATTGTAGGATGTCCTGGGATTATTATATTAAAATTATGTTTCTTGGAACCAATTAAGTTTAGTAAATTAAAATATTATAATTATTCAATAATTGTAAGTTCCCACTATTAATTTCAAGTTTTCTTTCACTTCCTCTAATTTTTCTTCCTGGAATTTTCAGGGAATGAACATTTTCAATATAGAAGCAAATATTAAATATTAAAAACAGCTGACAACATTTATTTCTTCACCTCACATTTTCTCTTAAATTCAGATTAAGAAGGCATTTTCCTCATAATTTTATTAAATATATATATTTTAATGTTGCAAAATAATCCTGTGTGACAATGGTTAATTCTTGATTCTCAAATTACTATCTGTTTTTCAGTGGCATTGGACTCAATGAATCATTCCTACTTTTTAGAAATAGTTTTTAAATTTTTATTTCAGGACATACGTACTTTACTAGACTTCAACTTACTTCTTAAGTCATTTCTTATGGGTTCTAATTTTCTGGATCTTCTTTATCCCAGCCTCTGATTAAGAATATTTCCATGGCTTAGTCCCTCTACCACTTTTCTTCTTCATCTATATTCTACCAAGGTATTCACTTCCAGTCCCCTGACTTTAGATAGCATGTATTCACTGATTCCTTTTTTTTTTTTTTTCCTCAACCCTCAGCTATCACTTTTGGACACAATCTATATCACCATCTATGAACTACAGCTCTTACCAGTCCTACAGTTGCTTTCTATTTAAAATATAAGGCCTTCATATCCTTTCATCTGGACTATTACAATATCTTTCTAACAGATCTTGTTGCTTAAATTGATAATCCCTTCTGAACTACCCTCTATGGGTTAGCTAGAATATTGTTGTAAATCAATAAGGTATATTGTATTATTTTCTTGCCAACTATGTTGTGGTGGGTTCCTATAAAGTTAGAACAAAACCCAAAGTGCTACTGAAGGCCTCTGAAAAGGCCCTAGATGAGAAGCCTGTATTTGTTTCCTAACACTGCAGTAAAACAGAAACAGAAACATAACACTTAAATCAACACAAATGTATTATCTTATAGTCCTGGAGATTAGAAATGCAAAATGGATTTCACTGGGCTACAGTGAAGATGTGTTGAGGTCTGCATTCCTTCCTGAGGCTCTAGGGGAGATCCATTTCTTTTCTTTTCACAGTTCTCAAGGTGCTGCCTATGTAGTCTCTGGTTGATGGATCTCTTCTGTCTTTAAGTCAGCAATGACTATTGAGTCTTTCCTATTGTAGTCCTCTGACACTGACTTTTCTGGTTCCCTCTTTTACTTATAAAGAAATCTGTGATTATACTGTGCCCACCCAGATAATCTACTGTATATTCCCCATTTCAAAATAAGCTGATAAACAAATTTAGTTCTATCTGAAATTTTAATTCCCGTTTGCCATGTAACATAACATATTCAAAAGTTCCAGGGATTCGAATGTGAACATCTTTTAATGGCCCTTGGCTACTGCTGAATTCCAATGCCCAATTCTAACACTCTTTCCCCTTTATTCCATGCATTCGCATTAGTGGCCTCAATTTTCTTGCTACATGACAAGTTTGTTCCCATGTCAGGGCATATGAATTTCTGTTTTTCCTGCTTGGAAAATTCTTCTCACAAACTTTCCAATTATATATTTTAACAATTTTAATTTACAAGCTGTCCAAATTTTATATCTTGAGAAGTGTTTTTGATCATTCTACTTGTAATAATCCTCCCGACTTCAGTCTTTTCCAATTAACCTCTATTTTTATTTTAATACATTTATGGAGTATGAGTGCAGTTTTTTTATATGGAGATATTGTGTACAGGTGATATCTATGATTTTACTGAAACTATCACCTAAATAGTGAACAGTGTACCCAGTAGATAATTTCTCAGCCCTCGTCCCCCTCTGATCGTCTCACCCTCCTCCCTTTTGGAGTCTTTAATATTGATTATTCCATTCTATATGTTCACGTGTACCCATTGTTTAGCTCCCACTTATAAGTGAAAATATGCAGTTTTTGACTTTCTATTTCTGAGTTATTTCACTTAGGATAATGGCTTCCAGTTTCATCCATGTGACTGTAAAGAAAATGATTTAATATTTTTATAACTGAGTAGTATTCCAACGTGTGTGTGTATGAAATATATATGTTACATATATTTTATATGTTATATATGTTATATGTTATATATGTTACACATACTTTATATATTATATGAGATATATATGTTTTATATATATATATATGTGTGTTACATTTCCTTTATCCAATCATTTGTTGACAGACACCTAGGTTGATTACTACACACAGAAAAGAGAACACTTACAAAATACTAGTGGTACTGTAAATTAGCACGACCTCTATGGAGATTCTCTAATAACTAAAAATTGTACTGCCATTTGATTCAGTAAACTTCCTTTATTTTTTGTATAACATGTATCTACCAGTGTCTCTATGATTACATTGTATTTATTATATTATACTGTGTACGTGTGTGTGCGTCTATCTGTGTACTTTCTGAGTCCCAAATTAGAATACAAACCCACTGAAAGTGAGAAATATTTGTATATTTGTCAATGAATATCCCTGTTAACTGAAAGAGTGCTTGCTACTTGGTATGTACTCCATAAATAGTTATTGAATAAAGAAATATACTTTTGAGTAGGAGACCTGGGGGCCGGGGCTGCCTGTGGACGACCATCTGCCAGCTTCTCTTGCTCCGTCGATTAGGAGGATCGGTGGCGACCTCGGCCTTCAGTGTCTCCGACAGAGTGAAATGGCGGCGGCGGCCGGGATGATGCTGCTGGGCTTGCTACAGGCGGGTGGGTAGGTGCTGGGCCAGGCGATGGAGGAGGTGGCAGGCGGCAACCTCTTGTCCATGCTGCTGATCGCCTGCGCCTTCACCCTCAGCCTGGTCTACTTGTTCCGTCTCGCTGCCGGCCACCTGGTCCAGCTGACCGCAGGGGCGAAAAGTCCTCCGTACATTTTCTCCCCAGTTCCTTTCCTTGGGCATGCCATAGCATTTGGGAAAAGTCCAACTGAATTTCTAGAAAATGCATATGGGAATTATGGACCTGTATTTAGTTTTATCATGGTAGGCAAGGCATTTACTTACCTTCTGGGTAGTGATGCTGCTGCACTGCTTTTTAATAGTAAAAATGAAGTCCTGAATGCAGAAGATGTCTACAGTCGCCTGACAACACCTGTGTTTGGGTAGGGAGTTGCATACGATGTGCCTAATCCAGTTTTCTTGGAGCAGAAGAAAACGTTAAAAAGTGGCCTTAATATAGCCCACTTTAAATAGCATGTTTCTATAATTGAAAAAGAAACAAAGGAATACTTTGAGAGTTGGGGAGAAAGTGGAGAAAAAAATGTGTTTGCAGCTCTTTCTGAGCTCATAATTTTAACAGCTAGCCATTATTTGCATGGAAAGGAAATCAGAAGTCAACACAATGAAAAGGTAGCACAGCTGTATGCAGATTTGGATGGAGGTTTCAGCCATGCAGCCTGGCTCTTACCAGGTTGGCTGCCTTTGCCTAGTTTCAGACGCAGGGACAGAGCTCATCAGGAAATCAAGGATATTTTCTATAAGGCAATCCAGAAACGCAGACAGTCTCAAGAAAAAATTGATGACATTCTCCAAACTTTACTAGATGCTACATACAAGGATGGGCGTCCTTTGACTGATGATGAAGTAGCAGGGATGCTTACTGGATTACTCTTGGCAGAGCAGCATACATCCTCAACTAGTGCTTAGATGGGCTTCTTTTTGGCCAGAGACAAAACACTTCAAGAAAAATGTTATTTAGAACAGAAAACAGTCTGTGGAGAGAATCTGCCTCCTTTAACTTATGACCAGCTCAAGGATCTAAATTTACTTGATCGCTGTATAAAAGAAACATTAAGACTTAGACATCCTGTAATGATCATGATGAGAATGGCCAGAATTCCTAAAACTGTGGCAGGGTATACCATTCCTCCGGGACATCAGGTGTGTGTTTCTCCTACTGTCAATCAAAGACTTAAAGATTCATGGGTAGAACACCTGGACTTTAATCCTGATCGCTACTTATAGGATAACCCAGCATCAAGGGAAAAGTTTGCCTATGTGCCATTTGGAGCTGGGCATCATGGTTGTACTGGGGAAAATTTTGCCTATGTTCAAATTAAGACAATTTGGTCCACTATGCTTCGTTTATATGAATTTGATCTCATTGATGGATACTTTCCCACCGTGAATTATACAACTATGATTCACACCCCTGAAAACCCAGTTATCCATTACAAACGAAGATCAAAATGAAAAATGTTGCAAGGAAGTAATATATGTGATCATCACTGTAAGCCACAAAGGCATTCAAAGAGAATGAAGTGTACAAAACAACTCTTGTAGTGTACTGCTTTTTTGAGTGTGTAATTCTAAAAGCCAGTTTATGATTTAGTATTTTGTTAACTGAATGGTTCTATCAAATATAATAACATTTGAAACATTTTCTTAGAGTTATGATACTTATACATGTGCTTTCAGGAAGTTCATTAGTAAAACGATTGTTCAGGAGGGATCTAGGTAATTGGCAGATTCTAAATAATATAATTTCCAGGTAGTAATTTTAAGAGTACTCATAGCTCTTGCCAAATAAGTTCAGGGTATTCAAATCTTGGACTAGTCCTGCAAGGTACAAAAAATAAAAATCCCAGTGAGATACTTTGAAACCACAGGTTATTATTTATCTGGGCAATTATTGTGTGTGTGAGGACGGAAGGGTAGGGAATAATCAAACATCTAAAGCTTTGAATAAGAGAATACTAATTGTTTCGGTATGATGATACTCAGAAATGGAGATGTTATAGAAAAAAAATCCTTTGGAATTTTAACTAAAATCACTGCATATAGGAAATTAAGAGATCCAGGACCATATTTGATAAGATTTCCTAAAAATAATGTAATTATTAATGCTAAAGACTGCTCATGTATCTTGATCTAATTACTAAATAATTACATATTTACCTGATAAATATGTATCTAGTTCTACAAGGTCACATTTATGTGGAAGTCCTTAGGGGATAATTTTGTTTTGGCTCAGTTGTTCCCTGCTTCCTCTCGTTTTTTTTTTTTTTTTTTTTTTTTGAGATGGAGTCTCGCTCTGTCGCCCAGGCTGGAGTGCAGTGGCGTGATCTCAGCTCACTGCATCCTCCGCCTCCCAGGTTCAAGCAATTCTCTGCCTCAGCCTCCTGAGTAGTTGGGATTACAGGCACCTGCCACCACATCTGGCTAATTTTTTGTATTTTTAGTAGAGACAGGGTGTCACTATGTTGGCTAGGCTGGTCTTGAACTCCTGACCTCGTGATCCGCCCACCTCGGTCTCCCAAAGTGCTGGGATTACAGGTGTGAGCCACTGCGCCTGGCCTTCCCTGCTTCCTCTCTAGAATCCAATTAGGGAAGTTTGTTACTACTTATGTTGATTAAAACAGTTAACAAACTTTTTACTTTTTAAAATGTGAGATCAGTGAACTCTGGTTTTAAGATAATCTGAAACAAGGTCCTTGGGAGTAATATAATTGGTCACATTCTGTAAAGCTCATTCTGTTTAGGAATCAACTTACCTCAAATTATAACTCGGGGCCTAACTATATGAGATAGCTGAAAAAATACCACATCGTCTGTTTTCACTAGATGATGCCAAAATATTTTGCTTTATGTATATTACAGTTCTTTTTAAAACACTGGAAGACTCATGTTAAACTCTAATTTTGAAGACAGAATCTCTGCTAATTTTTCACATTAAAATTCTCTTTGAAAAAAAGAAATATACTTTTAAAGAATATATATAGACTACCATCTATTTATCTACATTGCCCAGTTTAATTACTTCGAGTAAAAAAAACAAAAATCCAAAGAGAAAATATGCAAGGTTATTGAAGTAGTAGAATTGGGAGACTAATATTCTGAATTATTATTTAAATTCACACTAATTTATCTCTGAGAGGTGAGTCAAATCTTGACTTTTGGTATCTCAGAAAAATAAACATAATATGATATATATTCTAATTGAAGTGTACCTTGTGCTGACTTCTATTTAATATGGCAGATTCAGGTTTGTGGTAGGAACTCTCACATCTCATTTTGCCATTCCAAGGATAAGAAAATATATATCTAAAACAACTTTCAGAACAAGTTTAGCTCAAACCAAGGAGGAAACTATTTAGAAACCAGAAAGAAAAAAAAATGGAAATCATAGTTAAGATTTGTGAGACTTCAAGCCAGCAAGATCTCAGGTAAGTCAGAACTAGAGAAAGACCTGAACAATGGGAGTTGGGATGTTAATGTCTGCATGGGAATGGAAACTAAGGACTTTATATTTTGCTGTGGAATCCAGATCTGTATGATCCCATAAGCAAGGAGCTATGAAAGGCTGGCAAAGATTCAGAACTCCTTGTTCTATTTTGTAAGCCTGCTAATCATTCAGGCTCATAACAAAGTAAAGACACTTTACACAAAGTAAAGAAATCAAAGTCCTAAGTCTGCAACATGCCTGGGAATGGATGCTAAATCATGTTTCCTAAAGGATGCAGAAATTTCAGGTAAATGTACATGAGAAAATGCTATAAACTTTTAAAATTCTTAATCTTAGAAGTGCAAATGTAAACATGTGATGTATTTTCTATTTGAAAAAAATAGAAAATACATCACAATAAAATTGAACTCAAAGTAAAATAAATAAATAAATAAATAAATAAATAAAAGCAAATAAAGTCAGGTTATTCCAGAAATCAAATTGTATCTCATCACAAGAATTGGCAATAATGTAAATTTTAAAGTTATTGAAATAAGTATGTTCAAAATATTCACAGACATAATACTACTCAAAGGCCAAGCATAGATTATGAAAAATTATCTCTACTTTTTAAGTGTACTTGCATCAGAACAAAATTACAGAAGTTAAAAAAATATTCATCGATATTAAAAAGTCATTGAAGAAGTTTGTTTTTTTTTAAGTGAATAAATACTGTACTTCTCTTGCTAACCAAAACTTTTCTATCTGCCATAGACTATGAGACAGCCTGTGCCTTGATTCATAATGCTGGGTGGCCTCACCTAAAGTTACGTTTCAAGAAAAAGCTAAACTCAAAATCCAATTCCACTATCTCTGAGCATTTCAGGCCTATAGCCAGGATCACAATCTAGCATGCTTCAGGAGGCCAGTGAATCCAATGGAGATAACAGACCACAAAAGTTGTCAGATGTGACTACTTTATATTAGAAAATATCTGGAGAATTTAAGTAGATATACATTCGGGAATTGCTTGACCACAAAGGCAAAAATAATTTGACTTTGGCTGAATGTATTGATTTAATCAGTGGTTCTGAATAAGGGGAAATGTTGTTCTCCAAACAACATTTGCCAATATCTGCAGACATTTTTAATTGTCAAAATTGGTGGAGGATAAAATTGGCTTCTAATGGGTAGATACCACAGATTTTGATAAATATCCTATAATGCACAGGGTAATCTCTTAAAGCAAAGAATTTTTCAGCCCTAAATGGTAATATCACTCATATCAGAGAACCCTAATGTTAATGCATTTCCAGGGAGTCTAGATTTAATATGATACATTGAGCATCTAGTTCTAATTGTTTCTTTGGTTGGTTTACTGTGAGGAAGTGAAACAACGTTGAGTTATTGGAAAATCCTTAGAATGATGTGGTAAACATAAATTCAGAGACTATTAAAGTGGATTGTAATATGTGATACAGTTATTCTATTACTATATATTTCTCCTTAGCGACTGAGAGATTGTCTTGTCACCAAAGTATTGAGAAATTAAAAGTGGTTTTATGACAGTTTCATACAGGCTAAAGTCATCGGTAGGTGTGATGGTACAGATGGGTGATACTTCAGTAGATATGGTACAATCCCAAATGGCAAAGACATGGCAGGACATTTAACTAACAGAGTTAAGCTGTTGGATGGTAACATCAAAATAATAATCAAATTACTTACTACATAAGAATGTTTGGAATGAGGAAATTGACAAGTGTCCCCAGCGCCAAAATATATGGGTATCCCATTAAGTGTCTAATTTTATAGCCAAAGAAACTTCCTGAGTCTGCTTATTAAAAGACCAGTCTTGAGCCACACAGGTTTTCACATGCCTTTAACCAAATTCCAGATCTGAGTCATTTCACAGCCTCAGGATCATTCCAATGAAAAGAAAAGCAAGTATTGAAAACGAAATCTATAATGATAGCACTGGTATCTATGATGAATTTTCAACCTAACATGTCTGGAGAGATACCTGCAGCAATTTTGCAGTTTGAATGACAAAACAAAAGAAGAATAGCTTTATCCTTTTTGAAATAAAAAGCCTGCAGTGTGAAGGAGATTCTTAATATTCATGAAGACGGAATGACTTGCTCTGAGGATATCAGTCACCTAATATCCCTTAAAACCTCAGTGATTTCTGCGGAGTTTATGGACAAACAAAATATCCATGGTGACAAAAATGGAGGCTATTTGGCAGCTTATCAAAAGAAACTTCACCTCACTAAGGCTGCTCTGATGACCCTCAGTGTTAAATGCAGTTTTCCTCACCTTGAAGTCCCTAAAATGGAAATATAACCCAAATACCAGGGACCATTACACTTGACTCTTTTTAAAAATCACCATGTGATTCACTTACCTATTCATTGAATATTACTAGGGGTAAACAATAATTGCATGGGTTGGGATACTTTAGTGGAAAATAAAAGAATAAACAACAAATAAAAAATATTTCCTTCTTGAACTTACGTTTTCATGGGGAGCAAAGCAAATATAAGCAGTAACTACCACAGGAAACTATGTTATATAGTATAGTGTAGGCTGATGGATGTGATGAAGAAAAAAAAGGAAAATTGAAAAAGAATCCAGAATGTCAGGTTTAGGGAAATAGTACGGTTTCCATGCCTCATTGACATCATATTTGAATGAAGATTTGAAGGAAATGGATAGTTCAATGGGTAACTGGGAAAATATTGGTTCAAGCACAGGAAACTTTGCCCTTAGCCAATGCAATGGCCTTAAAGTGGGAATATGCATGCTAGGTATCAACACTATTAGAAGGCCAGTGTTGGGCGAGTGAAGGTGACAAGACAAGAAGAACGAAACTAGGAAAATAAGTCAAGGAGGTAAAAGAAGGAAATATCAAGGACTTGTACTCCTATATGCCTGAAATTTTGGGTGCCAAACATATTCAGTAAGCTATGTTAGTGACTATCACAGTGTGTCCCTCTGTTCTTCAAATATTAGACTCACTGTCTTCTTCCACTTTACCCCTTCACAAAGGAGAAATCCTAAAGCCTACAGCTAGTTATAACATCTGTCTCAAGTCCAGGACCTCTGTGTGGTGTGTAGTAGTTTTGTTATTGCTTCTAGTTGCACCTGTTTGATCTGATGACTATGAATTGAAAGGACAAGTTATGTCTGTTCAAATATGAACTGAAAGGACAACTTATGCATTCCAAATATGAATTGAGAGGAAAAGTTACCTATTCCAAATATCGCAGTGGAACAATGACAATATAGCCATAATAGTCACATTTGTAAAGAGGGGGATAAGGGACACAGGTGGTGATGTGCTCAAGTCAGATTATACTGGTTCACAATGCCCAATTGTTAATTTTTTTAAAAAAAGTTGTGTAAGTTAACATCACAATAATAGTCTGAAATTGGCCACGTTGGAAATATTTACACTAGAGAAATGGGTAAACACTACAAATCAGGATTATTTTTGTCAGGGAACTGGTTGAACATTTATCAATAAACCGCTAAGGTACACAACAGTCATTTCTAAAAATTTTCAGGACAAATGTTAGGAAGGCTCTTAAACCTGGAAGTGTGAAATGATCCTTTATCAATCTTTAATTCTGCTTCTGGAAATTACTCCTTGGCAGCTGAGCAGATGACAGCTTTCTTTCTAGACAAGGAAAGCAAGGGGCATGAGTGGACATTTTCAGTTTCAAACAATCCAGGCTTCTGGTTCTTTTAAAAGTACAGTTTTTTTTTTTCAAAAATCCATGGATATTGTACTCCTTTAATTCCAATACATTTGCTGTGCCAGAAACAATATATACAATTATTTTTGAGATATAAATCTCACAACTCTATTTTTTTTCTTGCTAACCCATGTGTCTTTCTCCCTATTTATTTCCAGCTTCCTTGAACCTTCTATGCTTTAGTTAGAAAGTCACATATCTATTCTCTTCTCCCTGAGGCATTTTGTACATTTGAAAGAATATAAATTCAAGTAGGCTGTACATTCTTAACTTGATCTTTGCTCTGGGACACTTTAATCCATTCATTGGCTTTAAAAGTGACAGAAAGCAGGTCAGTGGTTGCCTGGCAGAGTTGGGTGGGGGGGGTAAGGGTAGAGGAGGGATGGATTACAAAAATCACAAGAAAACATTTGAGGGTAATGACAATATTGCTAATCTTCTTTGTGGTAATGGTTTCTTGGATTGTATACTTATGTCAAACCTGATTTTAAAGTATACTTTTAAAATATTAGGCCTTCATTTTTATACACCTGAATACATCTGGAAAAATATAAGCATGAAGTCCACACCTTAATTTGACCTTCACACACCAGCCTTTTCCATTTTACCTTTTTCTAGTTGTGTGCTGGGTGGAAGGGTGGGAAGGGAAAATTATCACCTCCTATCATTCTCATCGCCTTTATACTTATTGATGAATAAATTATTTATCTTCTTAAGTCATCAGTCTCCAGTCAGTGCCAGTAACCAATACACACTATTAGCATTCTGCTTTCCAACATCTGTAACTAGAGATGCATTTTATTAAGTCAAATATATTACCACTGCCTAACGTGGGGAACCATCCTGGAGATGGTTGTCAGTTGCATCTTCACTATTTGCCCCCAGGCTTCTATGCTACAGCCAGATATTTCAAGACCTTGTTATAACAACGTTGCACTTCTGGAAGACAATTTATTTTTCCATCAGCATAGTCTAAGTTATGCACTGTAACAAATAAACCTCAACATAGCCATTCTTTTAAACAGCAAATATATATGTCTTATGAACATTGCCCGTAGTCAGTACAATGGCCTTAGAGTAAGGATTTGCCTAGAAGATATCAAGACAACTAGGAAGCTACGTGTTCCTACAACATGAATTGGCTGGAGTCCTTACTATTTGTACTTACTCTAAAACTGAAGTTGCCAAATAAATTGCTATATGGAACACTGTTGGTAGCTACCTTTCCAGGTAAGTAGTAGAGGTGGCTATGGTACAAGAGGAAGTGACCTGGAATGATAATAGGTGGTGTTTAAAGAGTAGGACAAACATTACTGAATTTGTGGAAGGTATGCAGATATTGGTAATGAGAAGGTCTAGAGATTGGCCATGAGATTGTGAGACTAATGGCTGGTGGAGAGATTGTAGAACAAAATCATTAAGCAGAATGTGCCAAATAACAGAGAAGCTAAGGCCTTGTACTGATAATCTATGTGTATATTAAAATTACTGAGAATTGACATTGAAATCAAATAGGAAAGAGTACCATAAAGCAGTAGTTAAAATCATTGAAAAATGAGATAAAGTAAATTGAAGTCATTATATCCAATATTGTCCGGAAAATAAGGGTAGTAAGAACAGTGATGATAGTTATCCATATTTTTTATCTATGATGTGTTAGCAATATAACTGTATTTTAACATATTTAGTATTTATGCTAAAATACCCTCTTCTCCAGTTTTACATTTAATGTTATGGATAAGTTGGCACAGTAGCTCATAGATTACCATATATTGAGGTGAGATCATAACGGGGAATGGAAATTTGCATTAGGAATAACTGATAAACATTAGCATTGGAAAAGAGAGAGGGCATTTTTGTTTATTTGAAGAAAAGGTATATTAGATTTGAACATTTTTTTGGAAGACAGATATTCAAGGTGTTGAATCATGGTGACCCTTATCACTCAGAAAGCTGAAGTTCTGAAACTATTAAGTTTATAATATATTCTGAATTAAACTATTAAGTTTATATTATATTCTGAATATTCTAATCGTGCTGAAACTATTGTTTATTTTCTTAATATTTCTATTAAGAAATATTCCACATTTTGGCCAGGTACAGTGGCTCATGCCTGTGATCCCAGCACAGCACCTCGGGAGTCCTAGGTGGGTGAATCACTTGAGGTTGGGAGTTTCAGACCAGTCTGGCCAACATGGTGAAATCCTCTCTCTACGAAAAATAAAAATAAAAATAAAAAAAATAGCTGGGCATGATGGCGGGTGCCTGTAATCCCAGCTACTCTGGAGGCTGAGGCACGAGAAACACTTCGTCTTTGAACCTGGGAGGCAGAAGTTGCAGTGAGCCAAGATTGTGCCACCGAACTCCAGCCTGGGTGACAAAGCAAGACTTGGTCTCAAAAAAAAAAAAGAAAAAGAAAAAGAAAAAGAAAAAGAAATATTTCACATTTCGAGAATTGATGGAAGGCAGATCCTGTATCCCATGATAGACACCGAAAAGGACAGATACCTAGTTTCTTAACCTGCCTTGGCAGCAATGGCAGGAATATACCCCTTAGGCAAGGCCAACAAAACACATCCACTTTGGACAGTAACGGGGAACTAATGTGTAAAGAAGGAACAGTGCAGCATCTTTTCCTATAAGGACAACAACATCTAGTCTGGAGCCCAGTGGAGGTGGCTGTAAAACCAGTGTCCAGTGTCCAGCACTAGGGAGGCCGCCCATGCAATCCACCAGGTCTAATGGTCTGCAGTCATGGCAGTATTCTCTCCAGGGTTGTTTGTGGTATGCTCTTGTCTCAGGTGCTGATTGCTTTACTTTCCTGTACTTCTGCTCACTTTCTGATTTTCATTCTCCAGCCTCCCTGGTGGTTTATTTCCTCCTTAAATCAAGTAGATTATTTGTTTTGCTTGCAATTAAGAACACTGACTGTTAGGAGTCTCAGAAATATAACAAACAGAATGGAGAGGAGAAAATTTTCATAGAAATAAAGTCTGAACATTTTCCAGAGTTGAAGAAAGACACGAGTTCTCAAATTAAAAGATCACATCAAGTTTCAAGTAGGAAATACAAAAACAATTTCACACTGAGACTCATCAGAGTGAAATTACAGAACTTCAAAGACAAAGAAAAATAACGTAAAGTCTGCTTTAAAAAGTCTGACAGACTGACAGATTTCTCATTTGTAACAATAGATGCCAGAAGACAGGGGAACAATGCATTCAAAATAATACATTCTAAATTACTGTCAATCTAGAATTTGATTCCCATTTTAACAGCCATTCAAGAATAAGAGGGATTGAAGAATTTTTTTAGACCAAAATTCTAAGTTTACTTCCCATAGGCCTTTACTAAAGAGACCACTAAAACGTACACTTCAGAAAGAATAATATTAAAACAGAAAGGATGGTGTTTAAAAAATGAGAAAACATATTAGTAATATGATGTGGTAAAGAAATAGTCACAGTAAAATATTAAACATTAAAGAAATCAAAATGTTAATGCCTATTTTAAAAAATTAACATTATTTAAATAAAGTTTGCATACAAAAATACATCTACTTTTTGATGAATTTTGACAAATATATAACTGTTTGTAACTACCAGAAAATAAAGACCTGGAACTTTTCCATCAACCCAAAATGTCTGTGCATCTCTTCTCAGTTTCTGTATGGTGACATAAAAATCTGCTGCTCACCTCCTTCAAGAGAACATGTTACAGGGGATGAGGTTGGGTGACATCCCTGGCTGCCTCCTCTATAGATCCAAAAGCGCATTCATGACAAGATCATGCTTTCAGCAGGCTTCTCTGATCCAGTGACTAAGCACTACAGAGGAGCTCATGCTAATCCCTTCCTGCAGCTTGTGGGACTCCTCTACCAGTCTCCACACTGACCTGGCCACATATTATTAACTGAGCTGCATTCTGAGATTCTGTTTACCCATTCTGCCTACAGCTTCTCCCTCACCTTAGTCTTTTCAGATATTTTATCAGGAAATTTTTTGCACATCAAATTTCATCTTGGTGTGTACTCCTCGGAGGACTCAAACTGACATGGGTGATAATGAGACTGGCCCAATAAAAAGATAGTAAAATGAGTTTTTTATGCTGGCTCATATATCTTACCAGAAAATTAGATGCAGAATTGCTTTCCATAATTTATTTAATGTTTTTATATAAACATACAAATACATTATTAAATGTTCTTCCTTAAAGCAGTGCATGTCCCATAGTCAGAACATCTCAGATTCTGGTAGATCCCTACCCTTTTCTCCAACACACTTGCAGAGAGTACTCTTCTCTCGATACACTTGCTAGTTGAGAATTATTCCGTTAAGGCGTTCCCTTCCATGAAAGTAAAGCCTAAGTAAATAAATGCCACTTCGAGTATAACAATTAATACCTGAAAGTATTTTGTGGCTTTTAAGTTTAAACAATTACACCATGTTTATGTTTTGTTCTTTTCTCACTTGGACATTAAAAGTTAGTCCACTTCGTCTTGTTTTTCTCCTGTGTCATTTGTTCCTATTGCAATATACAATGAATCCCTGAAGAAATATTCACTAAAAAAGCAAGTCCAAATTAGGTTATATACATAGATGTTATATAAGCAATCGATTAAGTATCATTTTATAATTTTGGGCAGCCATTCATTTAACAATATAGTTTGCTATTCCATATAGATATTTGAGTTTTAAGGTTTTATTGTTTTTGTTTAAGGCTCATTTTTCCTTACAAAAGAATTAAACTGGAAGCCAAAGCACCTTAATTCATCCCAAAGATTTACACCTTAGTACAAACCAGAAAGCTGGAGAGAGCAAAAGAGCAGTATTTACTGAACAAAAAGGAACTTAAATAAGATGGATAGAGGAGTTTAGAAGTGAGACAATAACAATACACTCTTATCAACAACAAAAAAATGCATCACTAGTTTGCTTAGTAGTGGCCCTTATTGCACTTTACTTTGCCGAAAGTAAATTTGCAAATTTTGAAAAAATATTGTTATGAAGATTATTTTTGTTTCATAAAAATCAACTTAGTATATTCCCATTAATGACCTACTTTTAGCTGAAAACATGCCTTCTTATACTACAAAAAGTTACTGAAATAAAATACATGTCTATACTTACATTATTCTAAGTACAAAAATGTGTTCTAAAGTAGTTCATAAATATTGGTTCTCATTTTACAGTCAAACACAGTATATTGCTTTTTGTATAGCAGCTTCCCTGATGATAAATGCTGCAAAAATAATTCATGTTCATGCCAGAACAAAATTGGCAGTAAAGATTAAACTCACATTATACTAGAAAGTCCAGGGATTTCAACTTGAGCCTCCAGCAACTAGACGTTCTAGTTAGAAATGTGTCAGTAAGATTAAATAATTCAGGCTTTCCTCTGGGTAGTGTGGACAAAACTGAATTTTCAATCACAGTTTATTGTTAAAAAATGATATTTGATATTGGAAAGTAGCTTTCATTTAACAAACATTAATATGCTATTATTATGTGCCAGGAAATGTTCTAGGTTATAGGCAGTAAACAAAACCAAAAAAGTCCTTCCATTGTAAAACTTGTAGTGGATAAACTTCCAGGTAGTTGAGTTGAGATATAAAAATTTCCAGTGCATGGCACTTCATACACTATCTTTGAAATATATTTTAAACTTGGATAAATTTAAAAGACATTCCAAAGGCCTTGGGGGAAATATAACTCATTTATTTTGTTTTTGTTGTTGTTGTTTTTGTTAGCAACCAAAGACTTATTTCTAAACCTAATAAACAAGGTATTGAGGTAACGTTGCTAACCTTAAAGCGTTTATTAGATACCACTCAATACAAAGTAAAATTCCTCAGGAAATATTTTATCATTTGTTTGTGATTCACTAAATTGCAGCTTGTTTTAAAACAAACAAGCTGAATATTCAGCTTAGTGTTTTTAAAAATTGCTACAAAATGTAAAACTAAAAAGGAATTCAATAAGGATAGCACATAGTTCAAAATCCCTGTATCACCTAGTGAATATTTTGAGATAGTTTATTTTTATTTATTTCTCAAGTTATACACTTGATTTGTCTGAATAATCGAAAGCTGTATTTCACAAAAATCATGTAAATTATTAATAAAAATGAGCAACTTATAAAGACTCCATTGACATAGATTTTAAAAGAATAATAGTGAAATTAATGATTAAAGTATTTTATTTGTCACAGTACAGATTTTTAAAAATTATTAAGACTCACAGTTATAATTATGCTTATTTATAGAACTTAGTATAATTTCCCATTTTAGGTAACTCTGTAATTTTTTAGTTTAGAAGCTGGACCTTGAAGGACCCTAGTTAAGGAATTTGAACCATTTAATTCATGAGAGGGAAAATCACATAATTTGCAACTGTCATTATTAGGTCCTGACTAATAATAGGTCATATTTATTTGAATTTTAGTTTATTAAAAGCAGAATCAAATGCATATTTTAAAAGTACATGTCTATACTTGTATAAATGTATGAACTATTGAAACACAGGCATAAGAATAAATGACTATGGCAAAGTGTGGAAATATTGTCCTAGTGTTATTGCTGATTTTTTAAATAACTTACACATTATGCTTGAAACCCTTTGTAAGTTGGCTGGTATGGTTAATGATGGAGTTTTAGACTTAAGTACCTTTCCTTGCTTCTCCTGTTTTCACTTAAACCTTTAACTTCATTTCAGCACAATTTTTTTTTTGGTTTAGTGCCTTCTTGCTAAGCAGCTCAGAATTTCCTCCAGGGTCCCTAATGGGCTCAATGCTGGACCCGTTAAAACTTTTTTTTGACAAATCTTCTTCCGGTAAGTGTGACTTGTGTGGCAAATACTCACTTATTTATGGTTGACATAGTCTTGTATCAAAAGAACACAAAGCTGAAGTTATACTTAATGACCTGCCACGTGGTATTATACCTGTATTTTTGCTCTTCTGCAGTTAAGGTTTTGTATTTCCATTAAAATTGATTTTCAGTGGCTGGTAAGTTAACTGCAAATAATCTGTCCATGAGAGATGAAAACGGATATATGAGTGCATCCCTTAGGAGTCAATGTGTAATTAAATCTGCATGGTTGTTGTAAAGTTAAATCACAGTAGGTTAAGGGTAATATCAAAAAACCATGAGTTTAGGGGAACACTGTAAATTAAATTTAGGTCAGGTTCTTTCATTTTTTAATTAGCAAATACTATTAATTTAAATAATCATTTTGATTTCATAGAAAATACAAAAACCTTGAACCGCATAACATTTTTGCCTCTAAGAATTTGAAGGTCTACCACTTGCTATTTTAGATTAATAACTAACAATATTAGAAACAATTTACACAAAACATGATTTAGGTTTTGCTGGTGATATTTACTTTATAGCAATATATCCTATTTTTATTTTAAAACTTATTTAGTCATCTGAATCAATAAATAATTATCAATTGATTTCCCTCCAAAAGAGGCTGTGCCAGATGCTGAAGATTCAAAGATAATTGATACTTTATCTGGCTAGAAAAGCCAATATTCTATTAAACTAGATAATAATTTCATTTCTAGCAAAATATTCCCTTGCTTTGTGAACTTGGGAAAACTTTTTATCTCTCTAATCTATAAGCAGGTTAACACTGAAGTGCAGATAAAAGATGATAAAATACGAAACCTCTCTGGTGAAGTTATAAGAATTAAATGAGAGTCTACACATCAGAACTTAGAATTATGCTTAGATAAATATTAGCTGTTACTCTTACTAAGGGGAATAAAGAGAGAGAAAGAAAATACATAAGACAAACAATTTGGAAATAAATGCAGTTGTTCAAGATAGAATTATTGAGAAACTTGAACAAAGGTTTCAATCAGTTGAAATAAAAATCAAATTATGAATTAAATACAGAAAGTGAGAAGTTGGAATAAGCAAGACTAAGGAGTGTAATTAATTTGAGCAATGAAAGAATTGTGAGTAAAATAATTACTCTCAGATTTCAAGCCTGGATGACTATGAGTGGAAAGGCAGTTTCATGATCACAAAAAGGACATCGTTAATCACAATGATGGAGTAAGTGATGAGCTTATATGTAACTTTTAAAGCTTCAGTTCTTCATAAGATATATAACTATCCAGAAGGTAGTTGTAAATATAATGAGAAACCTTAGCATAAATCTCCCCCTAAAACACATAAAAACAATATTTAAATTTCAACCTGCAATATGTGGAGATATACAAGCACTATTTTAATCCCTTATAGCCCATGTTCATAATACTTGCATTATAATACACATTAATAAAAGTGAAAGGCCAACTAACTGCCACAAAGTGTTAAATATATTTGTTATACACAAAGATTGTTATGAAATTCGTAATATTTTTAGTCAATTGGAAAAATACAAAAACTATAAAATTAGGGAAAAGATTATAATGTAATTTGCAAAAATAAAATAAACAGGAATAATAGCCAAAAAAATCTTCAAGTTCCCTAGTGACAAAGAAATGCAATGCAAAACAGTACATTTCCATATGTAAGACCTATAAATAATTATCTTCAATAAATAATACCCATAGTTGTGAAGGTTATAAGAAAATTAATATTATCTTTCAATAGACTATTGTGGATATGTGAGTGATACTCTCACAACATTGACCCCTGAATATGATTTTACCCTTTTGAATAATGTTGCTATCATTCTTTTAATACCAAATTCAAATGAAAATAATCTGTTATTTTCTTTGATCCTATTTTATTTTCTGAGAACCATTTTTGGTGAATATTTTCTTTAAACAATATCTAAAATTTATCTCTTATTTTCCATTACCAATCTTATGACCAAATTTAACTTTCTGCTTAAATTATTAAAGGTAGTTTTAAGCTTTTATTTGAAAATTCCCTTAATCTAACTTATTCTGCATTTGGTTCCCAGAGCAATATTTTATAAAGATTCACAATGCTTAGGTAGTGCATTCTTAATAATGTGTGTTGTAAATAGGAGGTAACAAAAGGGAAGATTCATTGTTGGGTCTATTCATTTCACCTAAGAGAGTAATAGTGATAGCAGTAATAACATAAATAACAAGAATAACATCGTCACAGGATACTTGGGGTGCCACTTTTCTGGCCGGAAACCTCTGTGGCCGTTGGTGCCTTTGCCCGAGTTTTGCTCTGGCCTTCTGGGCTCGTTCTGCCCACTTGGCCTGGGAGGCTGTGCTCAGCTTGCACTACCTGCCTGGATTCCATGCCTGCAAAGGGCGAGCCAGGCACGGGGTGGAGAGGGGTGTGTGAACGAACGAGCATGGGGTCCGGCCACTGTGCACATCCAGGCACACTGGCTGTGGTGGGGTGGGCATCCCCAGCTGCTAGCATGGGTGCTGGCTCCTGTGAAGCTACTGCTGGACCAGGTGTACCACAAGCAGCTTCCACGGCTGGCTCCACGGAATGTGGTGGCACCCGGCAATGTGGTGGCACCCAGAAGCTTGGAGATGCCAGGAACCGCACAGGCCCAAAGAGGGTGCAACAGCCCTGGCTCTGGGAGCTCCTAGGTTTGGGCTCCCAAAAAGGCCGTAACTCTTCTTTCTTTCTCTCTTCTCTCCTTCTCATTGCCCACAATGTAGTGAGCAAGGGGTGTGTTTCAGCTCTGTTTCTGTTATTGCTCTTTCAGTCTCACTATTCGGTGGGGCCTGAGTTCTCCCTTCACTATCAGAAAGAATGAGGTACATGGACAAGCTGAGAGTGAGGTAGGTAAAGAGGGGCTTTATTGAGCTATAGAACAGCTCAGAGGAGGCCCACAATGGGTATCTCCCCTCCACAGGCAGGTCATCCTAACATCTGCTCAGCTCTCAGAAGAGAGGAGACTCACAGTGGGTAACTCCTCTCTGCAGGCAGGTCGTCCCGCTGACTGTGGGAGTCTGGCTGAGCCCAGAGGTTTTTATAGGCTTCAGGGGGAGAAAGTGCATGCTGATTGGTTCATGAATGGCCATGAACAGGCCGGGAAAAAGCATCATAAGTTCTCACTCAGGTCCACAGAACTGGTGGTCTGGCCCTCAGGCCTCAGGCCATCGCTGGCCGTAGGTGGAGTTTCACTGGGGACCTGCCCGTTTCCTTCCAGGAACCCTGTCTGCCTCCTGCCACCATTAACCTGCCATCCATGTTGTCCACAGCCCCAGGCTGTTCGAGCCAAGGAGTGCCTGCAGGCCTACACAGGGCCAAATTTAGCTCCCCCTCGACCTCCCCCCCATGCTCATTGGCACCCAAAGTCAAGATGGGGCCGAGGCAGCAGGGGGCTGGTGTGTCAGCACTGCCCCACACGTGTATACACCCAACCAGGTCATGACAGCACCCTGGCTCGGGGACAACTTTGTTCCAACATCACAGTGGGTGCTCGGAGTGGGAAGCTGCCAGGCACTTCGAAGCCTGCAGGGGCAGGGGAGCTTTCTGTGCCCCTGAGAGTGCAGAGATGCCCAGATCTGCAGTAGCAGCTGCGTGGCTGCAGCTGCACTAGGAAGGGAGAGGCTCCCACCGCTCCAACTTGGAAGGAAGCGGGGTCCCGCCTGTTCTCACTTCCCATACCAGACGGGCCACCACTGCCATCAATATTAATGAAGGAGTTATTTAGTCTTTTCTTCCTATAGAAAACAACAATAACAACGTTGTGACTGTCGACCAAAAACATGGCTAAGGAAATCAAATGTATAGATAAGCTTTACTTGCTATTATCAGTTGCATTCTTAGAGGATAGACTCATTAACCTAAATCTAGTCACTTTCTTGTCTTGGAAGGCCAGAGTAGGGAAGCATGGAAAAAACAGTAAAACATTAAAGAGAGAACAAGTGGAAAGAACAGGAACCTCACGAACAAAACAAAACAAAAACAATAAACAATCACCACCAAAAAAGTGAGAAATTAAACGCAATATAATTTGGAAAGAATCTTGCCACATTATTGCTTACAATTGTCCATCTAAGAAAATGTAGGATAGTAAAATGCCAGAGAGTCGGCCGGAAAAAGTGAAGGTGTTCAGGAAGTGTAGTTAAATCCATTAAAAAAATAATTGAGCCAGAGGTAAGAAATATCTAAGAGGCCTGGCATGGGGGCTCACGTCTGTAATCCCAGCACTTTGGGAAGCTGAGGTGGGAGGATCACTTGAGGTCAGCAGTTCAAGACCAGCCTTTCCAACATGGCGAAGCCCCATCTCTACTAAAAAAAAAAAATATAGAAATCAGTTAGGCTTGGTGGTGCACACCTGTAGTCTCAGCTACTCAGGAGGCTGAGGGAGGAGAACTGCTTGAACCTGGGCATTGGAGGTTGCAGTGAGTCGAGGTCACTGACGGAACTTTTGAATTCTTTTAACAGCATCCTGGGATGTAACCAATATTAAAGTTAATTGTGTCATTAGATTAAGATGATCTTGCATTATTAATTCTTTTCCTCTTTGGATTGTTAAGGTAAATGTGCCAAGTAAGTATTACCTTTCTCTTTACAATAATATATTAAAATTATTTAACATCTTATAATACATATAGTATGTCTGGTTTTATTTATATTTAAAGGAAGCATAAACTTGGAAAACATAAAACAGAAGTGATAAAAGTAGCCAAATGTCACAGTTACTGTATCTTGTGAGAGAGCAGGGTTTCTGATAAAATAAGCAATAAGCACAAATGGAAGCTTTTCTTCTTAATCATTACATATCTTCAGGAAATCATGTTCATAAATGTTATCAAGAAGAACATGTTATGGATAATTTATACTCTAAATAGAAGATTCATTGTAGGCATTTTTAAAAATTTACTCATGACTTCAAAGGCTAAATAGTATTTTTGATTTTTATGAAAATTTTGTTTTTGAAATCTAAGTGCTAATAGTGGAACATAGCCTTGCTAATAAATATATTTTTTAAAAATCAAGACCTGGCACAACATCTCCATTCCTCCTATTAGTTTATAATATCAAAAATGCTCTTTAAATATTTTACGTATGAAATTTCATAAATCTTATACTTCTCTGTTCTTCTTTATAAACTTGTGACTGTTTTTGTTTTGGTATTTTCTAACTACAGTATTTTTTGTAGGCATGACTGAAGCTTTCAGTGGGTTGAGAAGATGTCTGTGCAAGTGAACTTTACATGGAGTACAAATCACAATGCAGAATTTCTTGAATTAATCAGATTAATTTTTATCTGTAAGTCTCATTTTAATTATTGTCATTTTCTTTCAGTTGTTAACCTGCCGATTCTAAGTCCTGGCCTGTAATATTATATTTATTTGGAACATTTCACTCTTGTTCCAGCATTCAATTTTTTTAATGAATATTTACGTCTATTTTTGGCATTTTACTTGGATTTTAAGTACGATTTTTTTGACATGTAGCACAAAGTAGTGTCAACATATTTCTTTTCTTCACCATCTTAGCTACCATCTATTTCTTGTTTAAAGAAACAAAGCAAACACAATTTCTCTATGGCCAATTCTGTAACAGTTTCAGTAGTATCACTAGGCTGCTTTAATTATTTAAAGATTCTAGAAACAGTTGTCTGTGGTATGTGATATTTTCTTCTCTGTTACTTAATAACAAAACATATCTGTTGCATCGTTTATCCAACCTAAGAGACGTTTTTCTTCCTCCAGCAGATTCTCACTGTATCGTTTCTCTAGCCATCTGCCCTTTGGACTTAACTTGATGTGAATAAAATATGTGCAACTTATTTTGCTTTGGAATTATCTTTATATTTTGCTGTATTTTTATTTACCTTCCTACAAAACAGGTAATAATACTTGACTAACTTGCATGGCTGGCAGGCATCTTTGACTTTAGTAAGTTCTTTGAGGCACTTGAATGCAAAAAGAAATTGAAATCCAAGACATTATTACTGTTGTTATGTAGAAAAATGATATTAAAATACAACTGTATCTTTATGCTTCCCCTGGGCCATTGTCCTTTATGTTTTCACTTTATTCACTTTTCTCTGTGTTAGACTGCCATGAATATAAATTTCATCGGAGATCAAAGGCTACCAAGTACAATGTGAGTCTTGAAACACCCCCTGTAAGGCAAGAATTAGTTAAGCTTCTTGGTCTCCTCCTCCTTAATTTATGTAACGGTCTATTCCTTTGGTAAGCGTATTTTATTTTCATGGAAGTATGACTCAGTAGGCATATGTATAACTACATGGAGATACTGAATATGTAAGAAAGATATAATATGTTAGCTTAAAATCTAATTTTTCACATAAATTACTTGCCTCAGTAGAGTGGATGGTGCCTTCTTAAATCATGCATGACATAATTTTATTTTGTTTTTTCAAACATTTACAATAAATGTTTTGTCTTGTAATGGTTTTAATGTCAGTCTTTCTAGGTTTAAAATGCAATTTGAAAAATACATCTGTGCTAGGACAGTTTATGGATGTGCATATTTTTAGGTTACACTTGGGCTCACATTTTTCAGAATAAGTCCATGGCATTTCATTATATCCTTGATTTCCTTTCAGAGCAATGGGATTTGATTACTTGGAACAAAGCAATTCAGTTTTGTGTAAAATCAGTTGCCATGTTGCTTTGGATAGGACAGCCATCTCTTCAGCCTCTTGAGATTTTCCACTGAGGTTAAAATATGCCTACCAATGTCAGAAGCATGTGTACAAATTAGGTAGGAGAGAAAAAAATTGAAGGTTATAAAATAATAATGCATATTATACATTAACAAAAAAGCTTTTGGTTTGTAACTTCATTTCCCTTTATATTTGATGTTTAAAACTTTGAGATCAGAAAAAAGTATCTATCTTTTAAAGGATGAAAAAAAGTGACCACTATACATTTATTTTTTTATAACTCTTATTTTTGACATAAAATCAGATTTATAGAAAAGATGTAAGACTAGTACAAAACATTTTCTTAATTTCTTACCCAAATGTTTACATTTTACTATATTTCAGAATAAGTTGAAGATATGATGTTCCTTCATATTAAAGAATTCAGTGCATATTACCTAAAAGCCCACATGTTCTTTTACATTATCACATAACAAGCAATAATTTTAGGAAATTAATCTCAATATAGTATTACTGTCTAATATGCAGACTTTATTCAGATTTTACCAATTATCCCAATAATGTCCTTTAGAACAAAAAAATGCAGGATTATGTATTTTACTCAGTCATGATATCTCTTTAGTCTTTTAATCTGGAATCGTCTCTTAGTTTTTAATTATGTTTTATAACATTGACATTTTCAAAGTGCACAGTTGGTAGAATGCCAGTCAATTTGGGTTTGTCTGATGTTTCATCGTGATTGGATTCAGGGTATACAGTGTTGGCAGAAATACTAAGAAATAATATTATGTTCTTCTCACTGCATCATCTCAGGAGGCACATGAGGCTGATTGTTTCCTTCCCAGGGACGTTACCACAGATCACTTGGTTAAGGCAGTGCAAGGTTTCCCAATTGACAAGTTAAACGCAAACATCTTTGAACATTGACAGTTTGAGTATAAGATTTGCTACTCTTCTTTTATCACCCAAGGTACAATCATCCCTGGTTTTACCCAAAGGGCATGTAAAATAAGGCAGGGCAAACATATTTCTGGGAATAATCGTGTGATGAAGTACAAAAAAGAGAGAGAGAAGGAAGGAAAGATAGGCAGAAAAAAAAGAATGGAGAAAAGCTCAGGCTTCAGGTAGATCTATGTTCAAATTTTGTTGTGCTATTTACTTTCTAAGTTTTGTTTTCAATTCCGACATGAGGATGCAATTTTCTACCTTTAATTGTATTTTGTAGATTAAAAATCAGTTATATCTAGGGCATGGGAATAGCAAGTACTCAGCACTCAGTGTCATAGGTTACCAATCATAAATATTGTGAGATATGCTCACTTACCAACAGTAATTATGAGAAATTACTGTGAACTTACATTACAATCTAAATGAAGCAAAGAAACCTGTTAGTATTAGTATCTGGTTGATTCATATTACTTTTTGAAATTCATATCAGTTGTTGCACCTTTGCCCTGACAATTTAAGCTGAAAAATATACATGCGTTGAACAAGGTCTGCTGGTTGTTACTTAAAAAAAAAAAAAAAAAACTAGTTGTTACTTCTGCTGCACCTAACCTGTTGAAATATACCAAAATATACAGCTCTTTCCATTCTTAATGTTAATACAGTGTCAAAAAATTCATAATAGATATCTTTCATTCATGAAAGATAGTAATACTTAACATCTTTCCTCTCTTTAATTCTCATTTTGACACTTCAGAAAAAGAGAAATTGTACACAATTTTTAAGGTACCTTTGTTTTCCATTATAAAAAATATATAAACATTATTTCAAAAGTAATAGAATAGCAACTCAAAGTAATAAAGTGAGAAAATATACAGTTGGGCTCTAATTTAGATTTCAAAGCAAAATATAAAGAACATGTATATTGGTAGATGATTACCAACATGAAAATATGTTCAGTTCTCAAGAAATCACTTTTATCATCTCAACTAAGATTAGCAAATTCAAAATATATATTTATAACAGTTTAGATAATTAAATGTTTTTATTTCATTGCATTTAATTTATATAGTAAAATTCATTTTGTTTTTATTACATGTTTTATTGAAAAATGAGGCATAAAATTATGGTAGTAGTATTTTCTCTAGATTAACTCCGAAGCAAAATGTCATCTCTTAGTAGAGTTACCTTCAGAAGAAAAAAATAACAGAATGTCACATGCTTTTACCAATGCTTATTTGGTAATACTTTGTATCATACAAGGTTGATTACTTTCCAAGCAGCTTTCCATTCTATTTTCTTCTGTACTAGCAAAAAATACATTTTATATGCCAAGTGTCCATGCACTTCAAGAAAACTCCTGACCTCCAGGAATAAATTTTGATTACTTTAAACCAAAATAGGTAAATTATGAATACCACATAAAAATGAGGATGTGGTACATTTCTGGTAAAAGAATTGTAAAGGGACATCTTCTAGGTCCTGGAAATGATATAGAAGATATGAGGTTTGATTTGACCCTATTTAGGCTACACACTGAGGATGGCAGAAGAGAAATTTTGGAAAAAATGAAAATTGGGGGATTTGATAATGTTGTAAAACTGCTCAGTTAACTGAGTCTGAAATTGTAAACTTTTTGTTATGTGAGAAAATGAAATTGTCTTATTGTTAAAGTTACTTATGATTCATATTTGTGTTAATTGTGGCCAAAAGCACATTATCCATTTCAGGTGCTTTAACAGGAAAGTAAAGAGGTAAATAACATTATTTATTCAAATAACTTTCTCACTACCCACATAATCTGCAAATTATTGTGCTGACTGCTAAGGATGCAATGAATTAAAACATCTCTCCAACCATCAATTGATTTTTTTAAAAAATAATTAAGACAAAATATTAAAATTAAAATAAGAAGCAGGCATTAATTTTTATAAAACACTTCAATAAAGGAAAATAACATTAACTTCAAATTTTCCTAACTAGTGTTTTAAGTTAAGTTAAATAAGACAATTCTGCAACATTCTAGACAGATCTTGATACATGCTAAGCACCAATGAGTTAACTAAAGATAGCAATATTTCAAATGTAAATATTACTGGAATAAAGCTTTGTGATATAATAATGCATTCTGAATTGCAATAAGGAATCATTTTTAAATGTAACAATAAAGTACATAATGTTGTAAACCTGTATTTCACCTGTAAATTTCAAATTAAACATTTCTTATAAAAGAAAAAAATTGTCACCTTGAACTACATGTAGAGAAAAACAACCACTTTAAACTTAAACACAGTAATAAAATTGTGCAACCTCTTAAATTACAGTGAAATTGTTATGTTATTACAGAAGTTCTGGGAATTTGCAAATTATAGAACTCTCAATATACCTTTAAAAGAGAACCAATCTCATCTATGGTTACTCCCAAATAGCCCTTCTTTTTACATGAGAGTCATGTTAACCTTCTCTAAAATGGCTTTACAAAATCTTTCTTAAGCAAGTAAAATTAAGGCACTCTCTCATCCTACTCAAAGAAAAGTAGCATCATAAAAATAGCAATATTAATGAATATTAATGACATGTTAATGAATCACTAGCCCATAGGTAGAAAGGTAATCCTACCACGTATTCTTGAATCCTTCATCAGAGCCACCCAAACGTCCCAATTCACATTCCTGTTTACATTTCCCCCCATCATAATTGGTAGTTTGTCAACCATTTCTTTACTTGCTTGGAGGCATTATTCTAACCGAATACATTCTGTGGGTAGAGAGGAATCCTCCCTCATCAAGGCCGTCAATTTCACCACCTCTCCTTTTAGTTATTCTTGTTAGCTACTCTCCTTTTGCTTTTACTTACTTAAGACATGCCATTCATTCAGCAGATGCACTGACAGATACTTGACTGACGTGTAAATTTATTCACAGGAAAGAAAAGAACATTTTTGTTCTGACATTTTATTTTTATCTCTGTGTGCCATCTTTATTTGACAGATTATAAAGCCACATTCATATTAAAAAGCATCTTTGAATAAAGGGCAATTTGCCATATCAATATTGTCTTCCCACCTCTTTTATTTTCATGGCCTTAGAAGGCTTACTGAAAATAACATTTTTTACATGCAGTGACAGTAATTCAAATAATGGTGAATAGCCATCCCTTCTCCCTTTCTTATTATTATTTCTGGTTATTCAAGTTATACAGAAAAAACGTCTATCATCTTCCTGTATATTGGAAAGAAGTGGATTGGCATATGCTCTACTTGCCTTTTCCTGAAATGCAAGGAGAGATTATAATTTATGAGTAACAGGAAGTAAAATAATCAAACAAGACAATTTATAAACAAGAATCAGGAAGAAAACCTGTAGTATAATTTACTTAAGAAAGACCACATATAAAATGACTGTCAAACTCTCCTTCATCCATCAATTAAATGAGAAAAAGAGCTTCAATTAAAATGTCTGCATTTTTTAAACAATTAAAATTTGTAGGCTCAGTTTTTCTCCTACAAGTTTAGACATCAAAATCTGATAAAGTTTTTGTAAAATGCTACTTGAAAATATATATGTTCTGTATATTAGAATATATATATATTTAGTATGGGTAACTATTATTTTTGAGAAATAATACAGAGCAACATGCCCATGGGATTCTTCATTCTATGTTAGAAATAAATCGTGTAGCTATGATCACTGAGTACATGTCAAGCCAAAAGCAACGAATAAACTCTACTCGCGGACAGCCTAGTAGTTCTGAACATAAGTGGAATAAATAATATAAATGCCTATCAGATACTATGTCTTACACTTTAACCTCTTTAAGCTCATTCTTTCCATGACTAAGCTTATGCAAATGGTCCTCAAAAGCTAACATGTCTTCATTTGCAAGTTCATCCACTTACTTCTAAATATCTTACAGGTAACTCACATCAGTATGATAACTGGAGTGAATAAATGGGTCTTCTACCGTACAGATGTAGGCTACTTGTATTTGTTAAGTGTGTGAGGATAGTTCCCCATTTAGGAAAATTTTCATATACGTGTTGATTCTTGCAGGATGATTTTCTGACACTTGTAAATCTAGACTATATACCCTAGAATCAAAAGTTATTCAAAGTCTCAAATAAATACTTCATATCACAATGTGGATTTTGGAGAGATAAATCAAAAGAAAAAAGTATATGTGAAAAAAATGTAAGAGGTAGGAATTAAAAAGTGACATAATGGAATCTGTTTACCTATAACTTGCATGAAGGTTAGAATACAATGTTTTGCTTTACATTCAGTCTTGAGTGTCTAGGGCAGATATTGCTACCGTATAGTAAGTACTTAATTAACAATTGCTGAGTAAAGAAACAAATGAATAAATGCCCAGGAGCTACACTTTTTAAAGATCCATACCAGCCACTGCTCAGGCTAAGTTTTTAATTGTATCTTTATATTTTCAATTTTCAGGGGTGCTTTTCTCTGAAATCTAAGAAAAAAGTCATTTGTTTATTACTTCAATTGAATCTTTCAATAGCAAGAAAATATGTACTCTTTAAATAGTTGTTTTATCACTGATATTCTTAACATAAAGTTAAAAATTACTGCTCCAATAACTACTCATTCATCAGCTAATCTATTTTTAAGAATTCCCGAGAACAAAGGATCACGCAAACAACAAACATAATCACTTGGAACTTACTTTTAAATGTCTGTTGAGTTATTGAAATCAGTCTTCTGAGGACCCATTTAAAAACACTAACAGAAGGCAAGGAAAACCTGTTAATAATACAGTTTTTCTAGCTCTATGGCGGTAAAGGCATTTGCATCTTAGCCTTTAATTCAATCATTTATTTCCCTATTACCTGGGAGACAAAATTATGAGCCAACACCTGTTGGAAGAGTTTTTCTGACCCTTTCAGCTCATTCTTCTGTTATATTTGTAGCCGCTCACCAGATGTGCTCACTGGACAATTGATTCCCTGTGCATGGCTCTAAATGCTTCATGATGCACTTGGATGCAAGTGTTACTTACAAAATTCTGGAGCAGTCCCTTTATTTGCATGAGAAATACCAGTCCAAAATTCTACCAGTTCATAATACACCAAGACGATGGATGAATCATAACTTCTCCGAAAAGCTGACTAGGAAAATATAAATTCACCTCAGGACACCTATACATTTCCACCTCCTTGGAATTTACAGTTTTACTGTAACAAATACATAGGATAAATCCATGTCATTGGTGACCATTTCTGTTGACATGTGTCATAGAAAGAGCTTCATTTCCTTTCATCAACATTGGTTTAATGCTTGTTCACCCCTGACTTTAGTACTGACATTTCTAATCTTTCAACAACAGTTCCTTCTCAAGAAGCTTTTCTCTGAATAACGTGAGAAACATTTTTTAAAGTATATTAATTGCCTCGTAGAGAAAGAAAATATTGCTTTATAAAAGAGTTGGCTGATTTTTTATGTGATTTGATGTTATTAGTTAGGTTTTACTACAATGTATTCATTATAAAATATGAGAATAATGCATAAAAGTAGTAAGAAAATTATGAATTTTCAGCATTTTCTTCCATCTATTTTTCCATATGTTAAGGATTTTTTTAAATTTCAAATTAAATTATTAAA
Source organism: Homo sapiens (assembly GCF_000001405.40). NCBI lineage: Eukaryota > Metazoa > Chordata > Mammalia > Primates > Hominidae > Homo > Homo sapiens. Next base: position 82,780,667 of record NC_000003.12, on the reverse strand, counting down.
AATTTTTCCGTGGTATTGCATATCTTCAAAATGCCTGTTTAAAAATTTTTCAGGCCGAATGCGGTGGCTCGCGACTGTAATCCCAGCACTTTGGGAGACTGAGGTGGGCGGATCACGAGGTCAGGAGATGGAGACCATCCTGGCTAACATGGTGAAACCCCGTCTCTACTAAAAACACACACGAAAAAATGAGGCAGGCGTGGTGGCGGGCGCCTGTAGTCCCAGCTACTCGGGAGGCTGAGGCAGGAGAATGGCGTGAACCCAGGAGGTGGAGCTTGCAGTGAGCCGAGATCTTGCCACTGCACTCCAGCCTGGGCCACAGAGCGAGACTCCGTCTCAAAAAAAAAAATGCATAACATAGAATTTTTTTCACATGCTAAAAATATTTTTAGTATTATTTGATATACAGAAATTCGTCCATTTTGTGGAATCAAAACTATAATTTTTTCTAATATTTTCTTATGTGTTCACCCAAATCTCACTTTGAAGAGTAGTTTCCATAATCCCCACATGTCATGGAAGGCACCAGGTGAAGATAACTGAATCATGGGAACAGTTTCCCCCATCCTGTTCTGGCGACAGTCAGTTAGTTCCCAAGAGATCTGATTGTTTCATAAGGGGCTTTTCTCCTCCTTCACTCTGCACTTCTCCTTGCTGCCACCATGTGAAGAAGGATATATTTGCTTCTCCTTCTGCCATGATAGTAAGTTTTCTGAGATATCCGCAGTCATGCTGAACTGTGACTCAATTAAATCTGTTTTCTTTAAAAATTACCCATCTTGGGTGTGGCTTTATTAGCAGAGTGAGAACAGACTAATACCTTTCTGTTATATTTATCTCTAGAAGTTTCACTCCCTTCAATTATAATCTTAGTTTTATTGTAATTTTATTTTAAAATATTTAAGTATTAAATGCGTATGAATTGTATTTAGCTGCATAGTGCCAATACAATTTGAGTTAAAATATATTACATACACTTTTTTTTTCTTTCACTGAATTATGTAGTCTATTGCTATTTTGAAAACAATGTTTAACATAATATATTCTCACTTGGTAATTGAGTGTATGTAAAAATTATTTTGCTTTGTGTTTGTTATTAAATTTATTGTATTTAAAATATTCATGTATCATTTGCTTATCATAAATTTTCTGAATATAAAGTCACATAATGTACATAATATTAAACTTCCTCCGTTTTACATAGCATTGCTCACCATTGAAGTTTTGTGCCTGTTTATATTCTGAATGATTTCATTGGGAGGCTGAATTGCTACTCTGTGACTGAAATGTGAGTATTCCACCTTCCAAAATTCAAATTGCAGTGTAACTTATTGAGCAAAGAAACCCATGTTTGCAGATAAGCTAGAAAGTAAAACTGAGAAATCAGAGAGCTCATTTCTTAGAGTGGGTATGCTAGTTCTACATGTACAAAATAGGTGTCATTTTGACAGCCCTGCTATAATACCTTTACTATGTTTTTGCTAACTGCAGCACAATTTTCCATGAGGCACTGCTATATGCCCTATGCCTTACCAGTCTGTCTAGACTACCAGTCAAGGTACTTATCCCACTCTGGTAAAGTGATGGGTACAGGACGCAGGCAAGAACAATTAGTGTCCCTTGATCCTGGGAATTTGGATCTTGAGCTAAGGTAACCTAAAGCTGGAAATAATGAATTTGCATTATTCATATGGCAATGCCTAGAGACATTTCCTACTAGTAGACTCTTTCCCTGGCCTCATTGTTCAAAACATTTATTTTTTAATTCCATGGGTTACTTTTTACTTTGGAAGGATTTATTTCATTTGGCTTTTTTATTTTTTACTTCTATGTCAAACTTAGCCAGAAATATTATGTAGTGTTTAATCACAGAGAAGGCTGCAACGTATTTTAAGGAAAAAATGCAATAATTTTTCAAAGGTAACTCCATTATTCTCGAATTATTTGATACACATATTGAAAAGATTTTAAAGAATAAAGTGTTGTGACATTACTGGATGCTATTTTTCTTTAAAAAACATTTTGGTATGATTTTAGAATTGTTACGTAATTTTTTTGTTGTTGTTTTTGTTTTTGTTTTTGAGACAGAGTCTGGCTCTGTCACGCGGGCTGGAGTGCAGTGGCACGATCTCGGCTCACTGCAAGTTCAGCCTCCCAGGTTCATGCCATTCTCCTGACTCAGCCTCCCGAGTAGCTGGGACTACAGACGTCCACCACCACGCCTGGCTAATTTTTTGTATTTTTTAGTAGAGCCGGGGTTTCACCGTGTTAGCCAGGATGGTCTCCATCTCCTGATCTCGTGGTCTGCCCGCCTCCGCCTCCCAAAGTGCTGGGATTACCGGCGCGAGCCACCCCGCCAGGCCTAATAGTTGTTTTTGAATTGTTATGTAATACTTGTAAAATATCATGATACACATATTTTAATACATGCATACAATCTGTAATGATCAAATCAGGGCAATTGGAATATATAATTACTTCAAACATTCATAATTTTTTTGTGTTGGGAACATTTCACACCTTCTTTTCTAGCTATTTTGAAATATACAGCAAATTCTTAACTAAATCACCCTACTCTGCTATTGAACACTAGAAATTATTCCTTTTTTTTTTTTTTTTTTTTTTGAGACAGAGTCTTGCTCTGTCACCCAGGCTGGAGTGCAGTGGCGCCATCTCGGCTCACTGCAAGCTCCGCCTCCCAGGTTCCCGCCATTCTTCTGCCTCAGCCTCCCGAGTAGCTGGGACTACAGGTGCCCACCGCCACGCCCGGCTAAATTTTTTTGTATTTTTAGTAGAGACGGGGTTTCACCGTGTTAGCCAGAATGGTCTCGATCTCCTGACCTCGTAATCCGCCAGCCTCGGCCTCCCAAAGTGCTGGGATTACAGGCGTGAGCCACCCGCACCCGGCCAGAAATGATTCCTTTTATATGACTGTATTTATACTAATTAACTAATCCCTCTTCATATCCCCACCCCACCCATCACTCTGGTCACCATCATTCTACTCTCTACCTTCAGGATATCAAACTTGTTTAGCTCCCACATAAGAGTGAGAATATGTGATATTTGTCTTTTTGTGCCTGGCATATTTCACTTAACATAATGACCTCCAGTTTTATCCAAGATGCTGGAAATTACAGAATTTCACTGTTTTACGGCTGAATCGTATTCCGTTGAGTATATATTCTACATTTTCTTTACCCATTCTTCCACTGATAGACTCATAGGTTGACTCTATATCTTGCTATTATAAATAGTGATACAGTAAACATAAGAGTAGAGGTATTATTTTGATATACGCATTTCTTTTCCTTTGGATATACACCCAGTAATGGGACTGCAGGATCCCATAGTGGTTTTACTTTTACTTTTTAAAGAAACCCCCAAAAGGTTTTCCATAATGGCTATGCTAATTACACTCCCACCAGAGTTCACTTTTCACTACATTCTTTCCAGAATATGTAACTTTTTGTGTTTTTAACAATAGCCATTCTTACTGAAATAAGATAATATCTCATTGTGTTTTTGATTAACATTTCCCTGATGATTAGTATCGGTGAGCTAATTTAATAAGTATGTTGGCCATTTCTATTTCTGTGTTTGAAAAATATCTACTAAGATCCTTTCCCTAGTTTTTAATGAGATTATTACTAATTTTTTGCTTTTGAGTTGTTTGCATTACTTTTATATTCTGAATATTAGTTGTCTGCTGGATAGTTTGTGAATATTTGCTCCCATTTTGAAGGTTTTTTTTTCAGTCTGTTGATTGTTTCCTTTACTGTGTAGAAGCTTTTTGTTTTAATATACTTCATTTATCTATTTTTCTTTTGGTTGCCTGTGGTTTTGAACTCTTAGCCATAAAACGTTTGCTTAGATCAATATCCTTAACTGTTTCCTCTGTTTTCTTCTAGTAGTTTCAGAATTTGGGACCTTATGTTTAAGTCATTGATCTATTTTGAGTTTAGAAATACTTTGGAGAAATAAAGAAATACTTTGTTTCTTCATTTTGAATATGGTGAGAGATAGGAGGCTAGTTTCATTCTTATGCATATGGAAATCCTGTTTTCCCAACGACATTTTTTGAAGAGACTACTTTCCCCAGTGTATATTATGGCATTTATTTCTTGGTTCTTTATTCTGTTTTATTGGCCTGTGTGTCTATTTTAATATTAATATTATACCGCTTCAGTTACTCTGGCTTTGTAGTATATTTGAAGTCAGGTAGTGTGATAACTCTGATGTTTCTTTGTTGATTTTCAGCCTAGATGATATGTGCCTTGCTGAAAGGGAGCTGTTAAAGTCTCCCAACTATTATTGTATTGTGGTCTTTCTTTTTAGAACTAGTAATATTTGCTTCATATATTTATGGAGTGTTGGGTGCATATTTACTTACAATTTTTATATCCTCTTGATTTATTGATCCTTTTGTCAATATGTAATGACATTCTCTTTTTTTGTTTTATAACTTAGAGTCTACTTGATACAGGTGCAGCAACTCCTCTATGCTTTTGTGTGTAGAATGTCTTTTTTCATGTCTTCACTTTCAGTCTATCTGTGCATTTATGGGTGAAGTAAATTTCTTGTAGGCAACACGTAGTGAAGTCTTGTTTCTTTATAAGTTCAGCCAATCTCTATGTTTTAATTAGGGAATTTAAACTGTTTACATTAAAAGTTATTGAGAGGGGAGGACTTCTGTCATTTTGTTAATTGATGTCTGATTGTTTTATATGTCATTTGTTGCTTTCTTTCTCTTGAAAGTTTACCTTTCAATTTGGCGTTTTCTATAGTGATAACATTTGACACCATTGTTTTTCTCATTTATGTATCTGTTCTACCTGTTTTACACTTTTGTGTGTTTTCTTGATGGTAGATTTTGTCCTTTTGCTTCCAGAAGTAAGACTCCCTTAATCATTTCTCATGGAGCCAATGTAGTGGTGATGAATTCCACTAGATTTTTCTTATCTGGGAAATACTTTGTTTCTTCTTTATTTTTGAAAAAATAGCTTTGCTGGATATAGTGTGCTTGGCATAGATTTTTTTTTTCTTTTAGTGCTTGGAATATAGCATCTCCTTCTCTTCTGGACTATAAGGTTTCTGCCAAGAAATGTACTGTTGTTCTAATGAGGATTCTCTTATAAGTAAATTGATACATTTCTCTTGTTTTCTAGAATCTTCTCTGATTTTTGACAGCTTGACTGTAAACTGCTTTGGAGAAGACCTATTTGGATTGAATCTATTTGCAACTCTTTCTTCTTTCTGTATCTGGATGTCTATATGTCTTGCAAGACCTGGCAGTTTTTCAGGTATTATTTTGGCAAATCAGTTTTCTATGCATTTGCTCATCTCTTTTCTTTCTGGAACTTCCCAAAATCAAATATTTGGTCACTTTATGGAGTCTAACATGTTATACAGGCTTTCTTCATTTATTAATTTTTGTCTGACTTGGTAATTTCAAAAGATTTGTTATCAAGCTCAAAAATTATTTATTCTGCTTGACTTAGTTTATTGTTGAATGTTTCAATTGTATTTTTTATTTTATTCTACTGGTCTGGTCTTAAGACATCAATGGTGGAAGAGGTAGTTCAGGTGTGTTGGTCCTTAGGCCCCTGGCAGCCTACATGTGTGAAATCTGTGGAATTTCCCAAGAGGTTTGTTCTTGAACCTCTAGGCAGCATGTTCAAATGCTGGTGGTGGCAGCAGCAGGCTGAGTATGCAGGTGTTTGAGCTCCTGGGTAGTGTCTATGGCATGAACAGTGGCTGTAATGGCAGTAGGCCTACCATCAGGCTCCTGAAAGGCACACATATGTGCCAGCATTGGTGAGTGTGGGCTGGGCAGGCTTATTTCCATGTTCTTGGGTGGCATGTGCAAGTGCGTGCCAGTGGTCACAGGCTGAATGGGCTAGTCCCTGGACCTCTGGGAAGTGTATACCGGCACTGAGGGCAGCAGGTAGAGTAGACTGTCCTCAGGCCTTGAAAGAATGTGTGAGTAAGCCAATTCTTTCTCCTGATATAATTTTAAAATATTTTTTCTAAACATTACATGTACATATATACAAATGCACTTGTGTTTATGTGTGTGTATGTGTGTGTGTGTTTGTACAGATAGGTCTATTTTCCTATCATGTTTAATAATATTAAATGTAATTTTATAAATGATACATTTGTACATATATATTATTGTAGATGCAATTTTAGCCTATTCTTTTTATTTAATAAGGTATTATATGATTTATTGTTTTAATATTACCTTAATGGGGTCTGGGCCCGGTGGCTCACGCCTATATTCCCAGTACTTTGGGATGGCGAGGCAGGCAGATCATTTGAGGCCAGGAGTTCAAGACCATCCTGGCCAATATAGTGAAACCACATCTCTACTAAAAATATAAAAATTAGCCAGGTGTGGTAGTGCACACTTCTAATCCCAGCTACTTGGGAGTCTGAAGAAGGAGAATCACTTGAACCCAGGAGGAAGAGGTTGCAGCGAGCTGAGATCACACCACTGCACTCCAGCCTGGGTGACAGAGCGAGACTCTGTGTATTAGTCAGCGTTCTCCAGAGGGACAGTACTAGCCATTGCTTCTCCCATGCAAAGTGCACAAAACCAGGTGAATTGCTCAAAGTCTCTGTCTCCAAAAAGAAAAGTTATCTTAATAGGTATATATTGTTAAATGTTATAGGTGTATTATAATGTATTGAAATCTTCCCTAATTGTAAGCACAGAATATTAAAATGTTTACCTATATTTAATTTTACACATGTACTATAATAAATATTAAATAATAAAAATTAATATAAAGTAAATATTTACATCTCAATAATTCTGTGACAGTATACTTGAAGGAGAATCAGTTTGCTTAAAAGAAAATGTTTGTTTTTTCGGTTTGAATAATGAGAGTTAGATTCTTATCCTATATGTGTTGGTAATTTTAAGTATGTTAAATCATATTTTTGCATATCAAGGGAAGTAAAATAGGCATACAAGAGAATACAAATATTATTTATACTTTTAAAATCTCTTCATTCTAAGAGCCTAGACAATCAAATCTATTCAGTAGTTTCAAAATAGATATTTTTGTAAGCAAAATATTTTAATTTGTGCCATTCTTAATGTCTTAGTTTTTTTCTTTCTATAACACAATACCACATACTTGGTAATTTATAAAGAACATAAATCTATGTAGCATATAGTTCTAGAGTCTGGGAAGTGCAAGTGCATGGCACCAGCATCTGCTCAGCATCTGATGAGGGCCTTTTTGCTCAGTCATCAAAATGGCTGACGGTTTCACATGGCAAGAGGGACAGGGAAGATAAGAGTCCTTGAAACAGAGAAGAAATGTGAGTTAAATTTATCCCTTTATCAGGAGCCCTTTTCTGTGATAACGAAGACACGCCACAATAACAGCATTAATCCGTTTATGAAGTAGATCCCTCTTGACCTATTCACTTTTTAAAAGTTCCATCTCTTAATACTGTCACAATGGCAATTAAATTGCAGCATGAATTTTGGAGGGGGACATTAAAACCATAGTACTTATACTATAAAACAAATTAAACTTTGTGAGCAAGATCTTAATTCAAACAAGCTATTTCATTATTCTAGAGGTAATAAAAATATAAGGTTACACTTTGTCAATTATTATCCAACTACTGTATATGTGGTTCTATGCATTTTCACCAAATCATATAATTTTTAAATGTTTTTAATTAAACATATTTTTACAAATATCCCTGGGAATTTTAAGTTATTAGGTTTTCTCAGCAATATTAATGTTCTATACACAGTAAAATTATTCAGAAGTTAGTTTTTAGCAAAAAAATTGAATCATACGTACCAACAAGATATTAAATCATGAAGTGTCTTCAATCAAAGCCTCAGGTTTTAGAGACATTTGAAGAAGGTTCATTTTTTAGATTGCTTTCAGAAATTTTGCATCTGGATTTCATACATAGTTAGGCTTCACATATGTATTCATATTTTCTGCTATTGGTCTCAAATCTCTACATATAGAACTTTGGAAGCATGAAGCTTTTAAAGGAATATGTTGCAAATCTTGTGTTCCTATCTAGCTGATTGTTCTGGCACAAAGCTGCCCATAAAATCACCGATTTTTATACTGAAAAATTTTTCCCATGATGAAATGTTATTTCTCAAGAATGCTAATGACTTTTCTTAAAGGATAATATACAAAAATAAAAATGAGCTACCCGACCTGCTATACATATGTATAAAGATTTCCCAATTATAGGTCTTCCATAAATGACTCCTATAAAAATTTTTAATGAAGTAATGTTTTCCTACCAGTTTCAACCTTTACATTGGTTCATTTGCTCAAACTGAAATAAAATTTGCCTTGGCCAACCCAAAACTTGAAGAAAACCAGAAGAGTTTTATAATCCACTAGTCAGGGAATATGTGTATGTATTAAAGTTTGACATAAGATTGATACTGTCAGTCAGCTTTCTAATTAAGGAATAAAACAATGTGAGGAGACAAGTTTTGTACTTTTTTCTTTCAAAGTTTTAAATATGGCTTCTTGTTATAGGGTGATGTGAAAGACAGAGAAAGGGATGATTATGAAAGAACATTGAACCTTTCCACCCAATATTTCAAGTCTTTGGACTAGAGCTGTCAGTTAAAATTTGTATACTACTATTCAAATCCTGAAAAATCTTTCACATGGAACTATCAAACCTTTTAAATTGTATTAGAAAAGTATTAAATTAATTATATCAGTGTGGTTATCAGGTAAAATATTACTCGATTAAAATAAAACTTTATAAACATTCTAAGCTGGCTCATTAATGTGAAATGCAGTTTATTTTCTTTATTTTTACGTATTCTTTATTGTTTTAAATTATAATACAATTTTAATACTTACTTTTCTGTTACAATACCATAGAATGTGAAAAGAAAAAAACGACTCTTTTCTTGTTAATATTAAAGAGAACACATGCAGTATTTCTAAGATTTATTGCCTATTAAACAGATTTACTATGCAAGAATAGTTACTTTTCTTTTTTTAAAAGTTATTGTTTGTATATCATTGTGTCTAGAAAGAACACATATGTTATCTATTAAACAATCTATATAATGTTAACAAAATTATTATTTGATAAATCATAACAAAAGACATTTTAATTATAACCTTAGTATTCCTTAAGATTCTGTTATCGATGTCTAAATATATTTTGCTATTAGTTATATCTGACACTAAATAAATCTAGCTTAACGATTTCGTTTTAGAAACCATCCATTTCTTTAATCAATGCTGATCACATGCCCTGTATTTACCAGTGACCATCTAGGCTCTGGAAATACAGAGGTAAATGAAGTAAATACAGCAATGGCCACATAGAGCTAATATTCTAATACAATAATATAGAGAATAAAAGAACACATAAGAAAATAAGGAAATGTGGCAATTTTAAATAACTCTTGATATAAAAATAAATCAATAGGATAGAGAGTTTAGGAGCTGTAGCATGAGAGCTAATTTTCAGCATGGTAACAAAACTCTCTGCATAACACTGAAACTTAAAAGTCAGATGAAAAATGCAAATATTTCTAGCAGAAAGAATTGCAAGTACAAAAGTCCTAAGAGAAAGATATGAGTTGTGTGTTTAAAGCATAGAAACAAGAAATATTGGCTAGAGTTTCATGAACACGGGAAAAAAGTGATAAGAGCTGACATGAGAGAGGCAGTCAGGAATCAGATCAGGTGGGGCACTGGCAATTTAAATATTAGTTGTTTGCAGTTTGTTATAATCCTGAGAGAAAGCCAGGGCTTTAAGCAGAGATTTAGAGGGTTTGTACTTGGTTATTTCACAGTGTAGCTGATGGGAAGATATGAGATTCCAGACTAAGTTAGGAGAGATATTAGGATTGATGTAGAGACAAATATCCCTTCAGCTATGGAGGGCAGATTTAGCAAATATGACGAGAGGGAATCAAATCTGATTTTTCTAGTATCAAATAACATTTTTCAATGGAACATACCTATACTAGAAATACGGGATAAACACATGCTAATATATATTTGTAATGTGAAATTCAAATTTACCTGGGTTCCCTGAATTTTATCTGGCAAACCTAAGATTCTTAACATTCTTATTCTCAGTATCTAGGAAAAGGAAGATTCCAATAATTCTATGCTGAAGGTCAGTTTGAGCAGCTGATTAGATGACCGAATGAAGATATTGAGAAACGCTCAGGAGGGAAAAGAGGGCTGGAAATGAAAATGTAGCAGACATCTGCATGCATATGCTATTTAGCGTTATGAAAATACAAGGTAAGGATGGAGAAAGTAGCAAAAAAAGCCAGAGAAAAGAGATAAACACAAGGGTGAGATTCCACAGGAACCTAAGGAAAGTGGTCAACAGCCAAATGCTGAAGGAAGGTCCAGCAAGATGAAAACAAAAAACTGACTATTGGATTTCACAAAGAGGCTGCTGATATTTAAGTGAGAACCCCAACTAAAGTGGATTTAGGAGGGAAGGCGGAGAAGTTAGAGGAAAACGCGGTATGTGAACTATTTTGTGGAATAGCGCCCTGATTCTTGAATAGAGAGCAGAAAAATTGGGTTTGAGTGGAATATAGGGGATAGTAGGATCAATATAATATTTTTTGTTGTTTCCTTTCCAGGCTGAATAGGATTAACACATTTCCATGTTAATGAAATTTTTTTGTTAGTAATAGAAGGTGCAGGAGATGTTTGGAGATGTTTGGATGATATCTGAAGTAGCTGAGTTAGGGTGAAATCCAGAGATTAGATGGAGGGCATACTTTCAGCGAAAGACAGATAACTACTACTATTACAGTAGGAGATGCAAACTAAGTGAGTGCAGAAGCAGAGAAGTCAGTGACTTAATGGTAAGAGGATTGAGTAGTTCCCATCCCATTATATCTATCTCCTAACAAACAGAGCTACCACATGTTAGGATTATAGATGTGAACTATAAAAAATAAACATCTTGGGGAAAACACACACAGATCCATGTCATAAAACATTTTTCTTCATTTCACCATTTAGTCTGGATCAGAGAGAATTCCTTAGAGCTTTCAGAACACTTCTATTACCATACAATTTATATTGCACTGTAATTGCCACTTTATTCACAGAGAGCAAATATAAGTTATATTCTGTTATCCTAATTAAGACATTGGCCTTCAAAAATTTTAGTATGCAATAAATATGTGATGAATGAAAGAGTTAAAAAGCTAGAAAAGAAAAACATATATGTCTCTAGCATCTTGGACAAATTGCTGTTTACCCTACAGCCTTTCCATAAATTGACTTGCTTGTGACTCAAAGATGAAGTACGTGGAAAAATGTAAACAGCACACACGGTTGGAACTTTGGCAAGGCACTTTACTTCTCTGTGTTTCAATACATGTGACAAACTAAAAAAGATTCTAAGAAAGTACTCAAGTTGATTAAAATTACAAGAACTTTTGCCATTTGTAGAGTTATATCACCTAACGCTTTTGACTAACCACTTATGTACAAAACCTACTGTACAAATTCATGGTAATAGAAATGCAGCATCTAAGGTCTTATGTTCAACTAGATGACACTATGGATGACATTAATGGATGTCAGACTATACTTTTTTTTAATGTTTGTATTTCATATCTTCTAAAGGTATGTATTGTGTTGATGGTGATCTAAAGAGAAAGTTGGCAATTCACTATATGTTTTTTGTTTTATTTTTCCTGAAGTATATTAGAGGGCCCTCTGAAATGAAAGCCATCTTTATATTAATATGTTTATGTGGCATTGACCTACTTAATGTTTTATAGATATTATTAAAGTCATTTGATATGGAAATGTGGAGCCGATTGAAGTTTACCTCATATTATGCACAATTGTCATAATTAGATCTTGAAAGAAGTTGTAAAAAGCATATTTGGAGGCAGAAGTTTGATGCTTTTTAAATTTTCCATCTGATGTGAAAGAGCTGATATTTTTTAACTTTTTTGATATTCCAATGAAAATGATTTATAATATTTAAATATTGAACTATCTTAGCAGTTACAATTATGTTACTATTTAATACTTCTGAGAAATTAGACATCTTTATATTTGATATTTGGAAAATGAAACTCATTCTGGAAAGTGGTTTTTCCCAAGACTATTTTTCACAGTAGCATGAATCAATGACTATTTTACATGTTATCCAATCTTATAATGAGAATAAACAATAGAATATATATGCTTTTAATATTCACACATTGTAAAAATGGCCATTTATTTAACTTCTGCACATTAATATGAAAAAAAGTGCATCTGCCTTCTTAACCATCTCGGTTATGAGTGGTTGTTCTATCGTTTATGGTTATATATGTAGGCAGTCTCCCAGAGTACATTGCCCATTTTTTCTAAATTACTCCAGTGAAAATGTCTGCAGACTAAATAAGTCTCCCTTCCCAGAAGCCATTGAGTATTTCATAGCATTACGTGGAGTATTCCCTATGTTCACTTTGTTCATATTCAGCTTATGTTTGTATTTGAGGTAGCATATACTTGGATACTATGTGCTTCAACAGGCTTTGACTTGTTTCCACTTAGAAACACTGAGTTCTAGTAAAAATTGCTGTTTGATTTTATTCTACGTTTATTTCAGAGATCTTATTTTAATACATCATGTCATAGAATTGATTTTGAAAAGATGATAGATGGTAGAAACCATTTAGATGACTAGAAATAACTTTTAAACCAGGTTAAAATATCCCAGATACAGTGTACATTTATAGAACTATTGTAACCTTCAGATCTGTGTATCAGCATATGAGAAGAAGTACATTCTTCAACAATAATCTCATTAGTGTCTTAGAATTTTACTCATATGAAACTATGATGCAAATTTAGATGATCTGTATGGGCAGACCCTCCTTTGAAAAAATCAACTTCAAATACAAAAATTCTAAAAGTTTTTCATTTTAAGAAGAAGAATACCGTATTCTTCAGGTATGTCCTGATGAGAAATTGAGTCTATGCACCCTCTGAAACTGCACTACTTTTTGCCACTGTAATATTATTATTCAGAGAGCACTGTGTGCAATTGTCTTTCCAAGTATTTTTGAGTCACACAGGTAGAACAAAACTGGTTTGCTATCTTTGTAAGAAAAAAAATCAAGGCTTTTCTAATTTTGTATTTCCTAATATAGTACTGACCTCAATAACTTACATAAAATTGAGGATAAATCAGTGTTGTTGATTAGTTGATCTGTATTTATTTTGGCACATCTTTTAATATCCATTATTATCTCACATATTTTTATATTTTGTGTGCTTATTTGGTCTGTCTTCTCATCTGGAAATAAAAGAATTTATACATTTACATATCAATTTAATATAATAAATGGTATAAATACAATATTTTTCTATTACATATTCAAATAATATTCTAGCAAAAATAATCTTAATTTAGTCTTTTTTAAGACAATTCTGTACCATTTTCATTGTGGTATGGCAAATAAAAATATGCTTATTGATAAAACTATGAATAAGTTTGTTCAATAATTTTTCTTATTTTATATTGTCTTTAGCATAAAATTTTTCTTATTTTATATTGTTTTTAGCATAAAATTATTAAATTTTGTTGGCCTGTCACTAATAAAAATGACCGACTTGAAAAGTCTTACCAGAACACTTAAAGCCAGAAGGAAAGCAATTTTGTATTTACTGCTTCAAAAATTTTTATATGACAGATGACAAAGGAACTTACAATAAGCGTAGCTGATAGATAACAGAATATATTAATTTAATGTATTTGAGATTTTTCCCTCTTTGCTCAAGAATGCAGAGATTATATGTCCTTACGATTTCAAGTAGTTAATGTTTTAAATGAACAAACATTATCAATCATTTAGTTCTCTTGTTTGGAGAACATAAAAATCATACAATAAATTATTAACTGACATGAATAAATGATAATAAAGGTTGAGATACAGAAAACAATCTTTTTGTAAAAGCAATTATTTTCGTCTGGGCAAGAAAGCTAAGCATTATTTTTTTACTCAGAAAATTTTCCTAAGTTTTTAAGATTTGTAAGACTGCACTTCAATTTTCAAATAATCTGCTAGCTAGTGGAAAGCCTAATTTTCCCATCTTAGGCACATTTATAAAATAATCAGCTTGTGGCATTTAAGCAAGTGAGAGGGATGGCAAAGTGAATGGCTCTTCAAAGCAGTGGAGAGTCTCAGAGAGAAGAAGCTGCAGCCTAGAATGCCCAGATTTTCACAGAGAAAATAATTTGACCTTTTAGAGGGGAGAGAGCCAATAATTATCTGGCTTAGATCTTACTCTATAATCAAATCTAGAATATCACCTTGTTGACATCATTAGTTTATAAATATGATATTGACATTTGTGTTAGTCCATTTTGTGCTATTATAACAGAATACCTGAGACTGGGGGAAAATAGTGCAAGAACAAGGGAACAGAATCTGTCAAGGTTCTTCTTGAACCATGACAGAAGATGGAAGGGGAGGGTGAGAAAGAGCAAAAGAGCAAGAGGGAGTCAAACTTGTCATTTTATAAGAAATCCACTCCTGCAATAATAGCATTAATCTGTTACTTCCATCCTCATGGCCTGATCACCTCATTAGGCCCGGCCTCTCAACACTGTGACATAAGGGATTAAGTTTCCAACACCTGTTTTTTTGGTGGATGTATTCAAAACATAACAGTATCATCTGTGCTAATAGAGTTTTCATTAATAATTAAGAAGAATAACCTATTCTATTATTGCAAAACACAGAAGTTTGATGTCCCATCTCTTAGATTTGGTTTCCAGCACAGTCAGCATTGCCATAGGGTTCTCATGAGGAACAAATGAGACAATAAATATAAATACCTTGAAAACTGCAAAGTGGTTAATTAAAGGATAATATGCTATATAGTATTACTTTGTTATCTCTGATGTAGAGATATCAATGGCTTGAAATTTTTAGTAGAATCTAAATCTTGATCTTTATATGTATCATTATTGCTATTTTTATTAGCATGTAATTGTTCCATTTATTGGCATAACTCCTTTCATTTGGTGCAAAAATATTCAGTCAAGATCAGTTTAGAATTTTGTTAGACTTTTCACAATTTTTCTTATCATTAATCACTAATGTTTAACACATTTTGGTTAGTCTAATTAACATAATTCCACATAATTACAGGAGTAGAACTGACGCAAGTTATTTCTGAGTTACCTTACTCATAACATATCAAAGAAAATCCTAAAATAATGTCATATCTCAATTTAATTATATACAATATTATAAGAAAATTTTCATTTTTAGTTTGTGAGATTTTTCTTAATCATTATATAAGTTTTCTCGTAGGCAATAAATTGGATAACTAATATTATATAAATGAAATATATATTAAATAATTTTCCTCTAGTTTTAATGCATCAGTTTTATATAAGGCATAAGGATAAGAGCTTTTCTTCTAGCAATTTGGATACATGTATTTTTTCACAAATATATTCAGCATTTTCTCTGTCAGTTAAAATTTCAAAATAAAACATCATAACAAAAACAGTTTAATGCAACCCACTACAAATCCATTCAAGCGCTCATGTTTTGGAGGAATTAAATAGGGATGTCCAATGGTAATCATTTCCCAAACTGTTGAATTAAGAAAAAAATAAAAGGCAACTTGATAGAAGTGGTGCTGGCTGGAAAAGAGTAAATCGAAAGATAATTTGCTGATTTCATTTTAGGCAAATGATACTTATTTAAATTAATAGACTAAATGCATTTTAGCAGTTTATAAAGATTTTTCTCTATTAAACAGCCCATCACCCACAAAAGAAACAATACACTAAGTAACTTAATTATAAAATGTCAAAGCTTAAGAGCAAGGATTCACAAAGCGCCATTATGAGATTTCAATAGCACTGAGACCTGCTCAGGTTAACCTGCCAACTATGTCCAATTTGCAAGTAAAATTTGCCCTCTTTCCTAATCAACTGCTCTAAAGCTGATTATTTCCCATTTATTTAATGCTATCTGCCAGGCCTTCCAAATGTTTTAGTCCTTATTTTAGGACCATCTCAGACTCATTAGCCTTTTGCTTGACAGTGCCAAAGTGACTGTCTGACAGCCTGAAACTTGGAGATGTTATGCCATTGAGTGTCAAGATCTTTCCAGGAAAAGGTGCTTTTAAAAAAAAGTGTATTTAAATAATGCCAATTTGAGCAGCAAGGTAACAAAGCCAAATATTGCATATTATGTCTGATATGCCAGAATATAATTTCTTCAAATGCAGCTAGAATAAAATGATTGTTTTCCATGATTCTGAAAGCAACACCCCTTTTGAAATTTTTTAATCCTTTTTACAATAATCTATTATCTTTGATTAGATGAACATGAAATTATTTTTATTATTACTGCAAATGATCAAGTAGCAGCAATTTTATATGGTTTAACCTAAGAACCGTATAATAGGTTGTTATTACGGCAACACATTTTTTTATGTCATAGATAAATTTTAAGTTCACAAGGTTGAAATTAAATCTATTAATTTTTAACTAATTATTTTACATTTGTCAAATAATCAGAATAAACTCATCAAGAATTTGATTTAACAAGGACTAGACTAGTAATGCAGGACAAAAAGAAAGGCTTCCCTATTCAGTGGCTTAAACATACTAAATGACCAAAAAGTCCATTTTAATATTGATCTAACCCTGTAAAAATTAGCTATACGCTTAAGTCGTTTGGATTAGGCTTTCGTGACATTTTGGGCATCACTGGAATTCAGCTTGGGTTGGTAACCTAAATTATTTATGTCATTTCTCAAGGAAAACCCAAACCTTTCCAATCTATTTTGATCTGGAAGACAGCATATCAATTGGAGAGAGATAGAGAAACTTTTATATTATGTCATAAATTTTCATAAAAGAACAATAACAATTCCATTGCCTTATGATTTTGTGCTAGGCACTTTGAGTACAATTATGTCAAAATTCAGAAATGTTAAAGAACTTATCTGCAGTCACACAGGTAATTTTCTGAGAAGGAAATAAAACCAACTGATTTGACAGTGCTGTCTCTCACCTTTATATCACACTGTTTTCTTCCTAGTCTCATTGTATAAATCCTTATTTTTTATTACTGTTATTTGACATAAAGAGATAAAATAAAATCTCTATTAATTGACCTAACAGCTACTATGTACATAAACATAATTAAAATCACTTCTGACACAACCAGAAAAGCACTTTACACATGAGATTATTAATTCTGAAAGTTTATTTTGTGGTCTTCTTAAATGCAGCATACTCTTAAGTTCAATAGTGAAACACATTTAGACTAAAATTTCTGGTTATATATATTGGTCAGGGTTCTCTAAAGGGGCAAAACTAATAGGATATATGTATATATAAAGGGGAGTTTATTAGGAGTATTGACTCACACGATCACAAGGTGAAGTCCCACATAGGCGTCTGCAAGCTTAGGAACCAGGAAGGCAGTCTCGGTCCCAAAACCTTAAAAGTAGGGAAGCCAACAGTGCAACCTTCAGTCTGTGGCTGAAGGCCCTAGAGCCACTGGCAAATGACTGGTGTAAGTCCAAGAATCCAAAAGTTGAAGAACTTGGAGTCCAATGTTTGAAGGCAGAAGGCATCCAGTACAGGAGAAAGATGAAGGCTGGAAGCCTCAGCAAGTCTGTTCTTTCCACTATTTTTCTGCCTGCTTTTATTCCAGCTGCACTGGCAGCTGATTAGATGGTGCCCCCTCAGATTGAGGGTGAGTCTGCCTCTCCCAGTCCACTGATTCAAATGTTAATCTCCTTTGGCAACACCCTCAAAGACACACCCAAGAACAATACTGTGCATCCTTCAGTCCAATCAATTTGACACTCAATATTAATCATCACAAGTACACTCGTTGTCAGCTTGAATCCATAAACATTTCCTGAAATTATATATAATTTTCAAATAAAGCAAATAAGATCACAATTACACAGAACACAAAACAACTATCCTTCGTACAACCAGAAGCACACTAATCTTTAACCTAAATGTGATTACATGAAGTTAACAACAGTTAAATGCTGATATGAAGTCAATAAATCTTATGTCACATGATAAAGGAAAAAGAAAGAAAATGAAATGAAGATATGTTCTTAGTACAAATGTATACATGCACAAAAGTGTTCTTAACAAAACAAGGAGAAAATACTTCTGACAATTACTGTCCCCGTTTCTGCAACCGGTCACAAGGTTGTAGCTGGTATTGATGACTACCTTCTTCTACTACCCATTCTATATTCCCTTTACCTTCAGCAAGCACCACAGAAGGTCATGGATTTTTACCTGGTGGAGTGACCCAAACTTTCATTCCTGAAGGATCTGGACCATTTGTAGTTCTGCCTGGATTGGGCTGTTATAGTTTCCCATTGAACTTAGTCACAGAGCATGGTAATACTGTAAGATGCCCTAAGAGATCTCCTGTATTCCATATATTCTTCCTTACCTCCATTGTGGAGCAGTAGACTGATTTCATCTTGATAGTCCAGGTCAATATCCCCAGCCAACACTGTAACTCCCTTCCTAGCCTGTTGACTTAGAGATAAGAGAAGGCCAAAGTGAACAGGTGGCAATTTTAACTTCCAGTTTAATGAAAGTATTGTTGTGTCCTGTGGTGGCAGCATTCCTCCCTCTGGAAAGAAGAGGTCTAGGCCAGCAGAACATAATGTCACGGGAACAGGAGGCAAGAATTTTGCTAGTGGGTCTGTGATAGTTAATACTGAGTGTTAACTTGATTGGATTGAAGGATACAAAGTATTGTTCCTGGGTGTGTCTGTGAGGGTGTTGCCAAAGGAAATTAACATTTGAGTCAGTGGGCTAGGAAAGGCTGACCCACCCTTAACCTGGGTGGGCACAGTCTAATCAGCTGCCAGTGCAGTTAGAATATAAAGCAGGCAGGAAAATGTGAAAAGAGAGACTGTCCTAGCCTCTCAGCCTACATCTTTCTCCAGCACTTGATGAGTCCTGCTCTCGAACATTGGATTCCAAGTTCTTCAGTTTTGGAACTCAGACTGGCTCTCCTTTCTCCTCAGCCTGCAGACAGCCTATTGTGGGAACTTGTGATCATGTGAGTTAGTACTTAATAAATTCCCCTTTTTGTATATGTCTATTTCTTTAGTTCTGTCCCACTAGAGAACCTTGACTAATACAGGGTCACTAGAGGTGATGGTGAGTGGTTCCACTTCCGCCCCTTGATTCCTGGACCCATCAATCCTGGCTATGGGAGAAACAGTACCATATATTGGACACTGATCCAGAGCATACACAGCCTTCAGGAGAAGTTAGCCTCAGCCTTGCAAAGTATTGCCACCTAGATTGGCATTATAATTATGACTTCATAAGGGCATTCCACCGTTCTATCCATCCAGCTGTTTCAGGATGATGGGGAACATGGTAAGGCCAGGCCATATAGGAGAGTTGAATGGGGATGTGGTGGGAATCACCACCCCTGCGTCTTTCAAGTCCTTGATGGTGGCACTAATCTCCACAATTCCTTCAGGGATGCAATACTGTTTTTGATTTACTATTTTTCTAGGTAGAGACGGCTCTAATGGCTTCCATTTGACCTTTTCTGCCATAATAGCTCTCACCCTACCAGTCAGGGAGCCAGTGTGGGGTTCCGCCAACTGCTAAATATGTCTATGCCAATTTTACATTCTGGGACTGGGGAAATGACCACAGGATGAGTCCAGGGACCAACTGGACCCACTGTAAATCGGACCTAAGCTGAAACTCAGTTAATTAATTCCCTGACCTCCATCAGCCCCTACTTTAACGGGAGGACCACAGTGACAATTGGGGCCCCCTGGAATCAGTGTCAGCTCAGAGACAGACATTCCCCGAAATGTCTGATCATTTTCCTTTTCCCCAGTGCACAGTTACCCTGGTAAAAGGCCGGAGGTTTCCCTGGGGAAGGATGGGAGAAAGATTAACAGTATAAACTGTCGATAACATAGTGGGGTCCTTCCTCAAGGGGACCTGGCCTCCCCTTCATTCAAGGCGTTCTGGGTCTATAAACTGGTTCAAGTATGGAAATGGATTGATGGGGCTGTGATTTTTTATTTTTATAAATCAAAATATACTTTTGTTGACTCAACCTGGAAGTTTTCTGCTTATACAAATTAAGTAGGAATGCAGTAAGTTTCCTATCAATTTCACTTCTAGGAATATTGCGATAAATTAGCCAATGCCAGAGCTCTACATGAGTCAGACAATTCTGATTGCTGCTTTGCCTCTGCTATCCATTAAGGTAATGATGCCCACCTTGCCTTTGATGTTTGTGTGTCACCATTTGGTCCCTGCCACCTTGAGATCCAATTATTCGCATTGTATTTAAATTTTCTTATTGAGTAGCTGCAGTTCCCACTGTAAGATCTGGCATACAGAAAAAAGCAATCACAGAGCTCTTCAAGCATGCAGTTGCTCCCCTCACAAATCTGTTTCACAAAGTATTGGTGAAGGGTATGTCTTTGGATTCTCCCAGGCGGGATGAGTAGGTCTAAAGTGACTAATCCACACTGGCATTCAAATCTCCCTTTGCATCCCTTCCTTTACATTAAACCCAGGGAGATAGGACATTTTCAGCTCACTCACAGTGGGCCATCTTTTGATCCTTATTTCACCTAACCAAGCAAATAAACTACTAGAACCTTTTTTAACTTCCTGAGCTGCAGCATTCAATGCAGAGCCCCTGCTTAGTGAGACTGTATCAGTAAATTCAGCCTGATCCAATGTTACGTTCCTTCCACTATTATCCCACACCCTTGACATCCATTCCCATGCCTGTTCTTCAGATTTCTGCTTATATAAATTAGAAAACTCAGGCAATTCTTTTGGAGTGTAGTGTATCTCTTTGTGGGCCACAATATGAATCTCCCCTCTAGGATCCGGACAGGACTTGAGTCTAGTTATAGGTCTAGAAGAAAACAGGCGTGTAGAGGGTGGGTCTTGAGGAAAAGCAGCATTGCCTTGACTGGTAACTGCCTCAGGGGAGGCCATCACTGCTGCCTCAGGCAACACATGGTTAACCTCCTCAGTCAAAGATGGAAAGGCTGATTGCAGTGTGGGTGGGGGAGGGGATGTTGCCCCCACTGTGGGTGGGCAGAATGTTTTTTCTGGGAAAAAAGGCTCACCAGAGTTTACAAGCTCAGTGTCCCCAGCTTCATCAGGGCCCTCCTAAACATTCCCCATTCCAAATTGCAGGGTCCCATTCTTTTCCATTCTATGTCCTCACTTCAACAGTAGACACCTGGTGAGACTGAGCATGCACCTTTCATTGCAGGTCAGCCACTCGCATGATAAGAGCTTGTGTCTGACTTTCCATAATTTCAGCCCTTTGCTACAGGAGGTGAGACTCTCACTCAGGGCAATCTTAGGAGACTTGAGGCTCAGTATGTGC
This sequence comes from Homo sapiens, assembly GCF_000001405.40. NCBI lineage: Eukaryota > Metazoa > Chordata > Mammalia > Primates > Hominidae > Homo > Homo sapiens. Next base: position 82,759,234 of record NC_000003.12, on the reverse strand, counting down.
TTCTGGAGCCAGCAGACAGAATCCCTGAGTTCACCTTTTCCTTTAGTCACGTTGTCCAGCAAACTTAGGAGCAACCAACCAACTTCATTATATTCCTTGGTTATCCGCATGTGGTCAAAGGTATTATGTATAGAGACGCTAAACTCCTTGCCTCTCATGAAAGGTGAATCAGGAGTATCAAATACATTTGTTTTGCATAGTTCTTTAAACATTTCACACCAAGGACTATCAGTGTTCTCCATACTATTAGAAGTAGGGTCCTTAGAACTTTTGGGTTTAATCATATTTAGCATCCAACTCCAGAAACCCCAAAACCAACTAAAGAACTCTAAACTTCTGTTCCTCTAGAACCATTCCCAGTACCAGAATCTATATTAGTCAGGGTTCTCAAAGGGACAGAACTAGCAGGATATGTGTATATATCAAGAGGAGTTTATTAGAAAAATTTTCTCACATGATCACAAGGTGAAGTCCCTCAATAGGCCATCTGCAGGCTAAGAAGCAAGGAAGCCAGTCCAAGTCCCAAAACTCTAAAAGTAGAGAAGCTGACAGTGCAGCCTTTAGTCAAGCTGAAGGCTTGAAAGCCCCGTCAAATCACTTGTGTAAGTCCAAGAGTCCAAAGCTGAAGAACTTGGAGTCTGATGTTCAAGGGCAGGAAACATCCAGCAAAGAAGAAAGATAAAGGCAGGAAGACTCAGCAAGTCTGCTCTTTCCAGGTTCTTCTGCCTGCTTTGTTTGGGCCCTGCTGGAAGCCAGTTAGATTGTGCCCACCCAGATTAAGGGTGGGCCTGTCTCCCAGTCCACTGATTCAAATGTTAATCTCCTTTGGCAATACCCTCAAAGACACACCCGAAAACAGTACTTTGCATCTTTCAATACAATACAGTTCATCTTTGCATCTTTCAATCCAATACAGTTGTCACTCAGTATTAACTATCACATTATATAAATTGTGGATCATGTCTCAATGATGTATTGATATATAACTTCAGTGACTAGATAAAAGTCACTGGTTGAAACATGTTATCAAAAAATTACTTTATATGGGAAAGTAAATATATTTCGAATGGAAAATCTGTGAGTATAATTATCAGTCATCTAGGATACAAGTATATCCTAATCAATAAGAGGGAGACAATGAAGGACTAGTATAAGTTCAAGATGCCTTGGTTAGTTGTATTAAAGAGCCTAAGAACATAATCCCAAAACAGCTATTTCCATATGGTTCTAAGATGGCTAAAACATAAACGTCACCAGATAACACTGAAAATACATGTGATTTTTATCAGCAGATAATTTAAATTTTAACATTTGAACAAATGTTAAAATAGATAAAACAAATTTAGGAAAACGAAGAAAGGTAGCCAGGTTATTGTAAGAAGTTTTTAAACAATAAAACTTGCCACCAATTTTAAGCGAAATACTTAAGTGGAATTTGAAAAAGTGAAAGTTGTTAACATAGTTCAACTAGATTTCTCTCTGTGTATATATTATGTGTGTATAGACATATCTATATATTTACATGTAATCTTTAGAGTAGAGGGAAAGTTAATGATCAAAACCTCTTTCAAAAATTGATCAATACCTGAGAAGCCTTTTAAATGAAAGCCAATAAATGACATTCAACAAAAACATGAATTGTATAAACATTGATTGGTATACTAACATCACTTGGTAATATAGTTACAATGTCTGAACTATAAAATTGACCAAAAAAGTCACAGACAGCCTTTAACGGTTTAAAGGCAATGGCCCAGAGAAATTGGCTCCAACATCATAAACTCTTAAAAATATGGCTTTTTTTTTTTTACAACTCTGTTGTGCTTGCATTCTATTTCATTTTTCTTTTCCCCTCCCATTTCATGACTGCTTAGAATTGTGTCATGGTTTTATTTTCCTTATGTGAAAATTACCTACAATGCTAGATGTTTTTTTGGTATCTCCTACCCTTTTCTTTTTTTTTTTTTTTTTTTTTTTTTTGTCATCGCTAGATACATGCTATCAGGTCCTAAAAAAGAGAAAAGGTTACAGTCAAACTCTCCTTTCTACTCCCTGCATAAGCATTATAGATAGGCTTACAGAAAGTTCAGCCTGGAGAACTGTGACCACCCTGCTCTCACACTGAGACCAAAGTTATCTTCTCAGTAAGCAGAAAACTTCTGCTACTCCTTTTTTCTCTCTATGTGGGGAGAAACCTCTCTAGTGAGCCTTGTGAACCTGACCTTCCAGCATGACAAGACAATCTTCAGGATACCATGCAGCTTAGGCGGCTAAAGCCAGCGCTTTGCACTGTCTGGGATTTCACCCTTTGACACAGCATACTATCTTTAAAGTTGAGAAATGTAGTCTTACGACAATGTTGGCTTTTCTTCGAATTAGTTCAAGTGATGTCTTTTGTCTTTCTTAATTTTAATGGCAGTCAAAATATTTTTTATCTTAGGAACTTGATGCTCCACCTACCAATTTATAAGAAGATATATAGCTTTAGCAAATGTTCTCTTCTCCTTTTTTCCTCCTTATTTGCTATAATAATCAAAAACATTAAAAATACTATTAAAGAGGCTTCTGCTTTCAGTGAAGATGAGGTAAAAGGGGTCAGATTTCTATATCTGCCTAAAACAAACAAATAATTAAAAAACGGACAAAATATATAATACAATGGTTCTCAGGACATTGGACATCAAGCAACAAAATACATTGAATGCTTAGATATAAGAAAAAAAATGAAGTGAGCCCTAATATTGATTTCTGTCTTTGGAGAGATTCAGGAATGGCATCAGAAGAAGGAACCTACGCAGAGTTCAGGGGTTACAATAACATGAAGAGAGAGAGTTAAAAGTGTAGCAAACTAAGGTAGATGCGGTTGCAGGATATATTAATAGTACCAAATACTAAAAAGCCACACAGGAAAAGAACTCCAAAGATCTTCAGAATGTTCCCCTAAAGTATTCAGCAGAATGTTGATCAACACACTGCATATGAAGAAGCTATCTGAAAACATGGAAGGAACTATCTCCAAGGATTAAAGGGAACAGTTTCTAGTACTGGCAAAGGAAGGCTTCATAAGTATGCAGTATGTCATAGGACATTGGAAAAGTACTCAGAATGATCTTACCTCAGTAGTAGGAAATAATAAACCCTAGACTAGGCTTTGCTCTGTTCCTGCATAACAAATATTAAAAGCAAGAAGCAAAATAATTAATAAGTCCAATTAATTTAACCACATCCCAGATTAAAGCTCAATAATACATGTAAAAATGCAAAATATCCATTACCCAAAAAGTAAAATTTAAAATGGCTACCATGCAGTGAAATATTAACAAAAAGGCAAAAAATAAATAAAAATATAAGCCCATAGTTCAGAGAATAATCATTCAAAATTAACCCAGAACTGACAGATATGTTAGAATTCACAATCAAGAACAAAGAAAGTTATTTAATCTGTATCTATATGTTCAAAAATCAAGTCGAGACATGAAAAAAATTAAAGAACAAATTGAACATTTAAAAATGAAAACTACAATTTCTAATGTGGCAATCTATGGACAGCATTAACACCAAATAGGACATTACAGAAGAAAATATTTTCTTAAATGAACTTAAAGAAATAGCAATAGAATGAACCTAAATAAGCTGTGGGATGGCATCAAATGGCTTAGACACATGCAATTCGAGCCTTCAAAGAAATGAGAGCAGAAGAAAAAGTGACTGAATATGTCTAGATTTGATTAAAAACAATAAACCAAGTTTTAAGAAGCTAAACAACTTCAAAGCACAAAAAATCTGCAGAAAACGGCATCAAACTATCACATAACCAAATTGCTTAAAAGCAGCCAGGAAGGGAAAATCTTAAAAGTATTCTGAGAAAAAAGACTCAGAACACAAAAAGAAACAAAGGTAAGAATTACAGCAGATATATTTCTTTTTTTAAAAAAAACAGAATATCATATATTTTATTATTATTTGTAAACTTTGTGCCACACATCTTCTAGTGTTAATAAATTTTATAATAAAGGTAGACGTATGTGTGTATATATGATATATATATGCGTATATATACAGCAGATATATTTCATCAGAAACAATGGCAACAAAGCAGGGAAGTGTATTTAAGGTCCAGAAAGAAAACAAAAATAACTATGAATCTAGGATTGCCAATCCAGAGAAACCATCTTTCAAAGTGAAGGGTAAGTGAGGACTTTATAAGGGATAGAAATCTAAAAAAAAGTATTAATAACAAAACCACACTACAAGAAATGCTAAAGAAGTCCTTCAGTGTGAAACGTATAGTATATTGGATAGATATGTAGACATAAACGAGCAATGAAGAGCACCATAAATGGCAACTGTATTGAAAAATATATAATCTTTTGTTATTATTTAAATCTCTTTAAAATATAACCCATTAAAGAAAAATAATAAAAGTGTAGTTAGAGTTAATAACGCACATAGGACTAAAATATATGAAAACAACAGCATAGAGACACAGAGTGGAGAAATGGAATTATACTATTTAAGTATTCTTAAAGTTGTATGATAATACTTTCAGGAAAACTATGATAAATTAAAGACACATACTAAACTAGAGTTTCTCAACCTTAGCATTACTGACTGAATGATTCTTCACCATGAGGAGCTGGCTTATGTATTGCGTGACATTTGGCAGCATCCCTGAATTCTACCAACTTAACACTATTAGCATGTCCTATCGTATGTGACAACCATGTCTCCAGACATAGCCAAATATCCTGTGGTGGTACAAAATTACCGCTGATCAAAAATCACTTTTAGAAACGCTAAGGCAATTATTAAAATATAGAATTATACCTAACAGCTAATAAAGGACTAAGAATTAAAAATGAAACCATAAAAATACAAATGGAAAAGAAAGTACAAGAAAAGAGAAAAAGGAAACAAAGTACATGTTGGACAAATACGAAACAAATGCTGAAATGATAGACTTAAAAGTAAACACATCCATGATCATACTAAATATAAATGGTATAAATATGGAAATTACAAGGGACAGATTATCAGATAGTATGGAGAAGCAAAAATCAACTATATGCCACCTGTAAGAAACACTTAAAATAAAATAATACATTTGTTTAAAAGTAAGAGAATTTTAAAAATATGTCAAGAAAATACTATTTTTTAAAAGAAAGAATACATGAAATATAGGTTTCAGAGCAATGAATATTCCCAGCAATAAAGAAGGCCATTTCATAATGATAGAGGGGTCAATTCATCAAGAAACCACAACAATGATAAATGATCATGTAGCTGAAAATAGAGCTACAAAATACATAAAACAAAACCTGATAGAACTACAAAAACAAATTGACAAATCTAAAATTATTATGGAAGATTTCAATACCTCTCTTTCAAAGACTGATAGAACAAGTAGACAAAAAATCAGTGAGGATATAGATTTAAACGTTATCAACCAACTATCTAACCAATAATACAAGAATAGATATTCTTTTCAAATCCATATACAATATTTATCAGGATAACCCATATTTGGGTCATAAAACAAGTCAATGTAATATAATTAAAGTCAATTTATGCTCTCTGATCAAAATTAAATTAAAATAGAATTCCATTAATTTTTTAAGCCTCAAATATTTGGTAATTTAATGTTAAATTAATTAAATTCTAAATATCTTATGGTCAAAAATGATAAATTATTAAGTATTTAGTAATTTAAACCAAATTTTTAAACTAAATGGAGATTTTAAAAATGACAACATATTAAAATTTGTGTGATGCTGCTGAATCAGTAGTTATAAGAAAAAGTATACTATTAAACATCTGTTTTAGAAAAAATAAAGATCTGAAATGAATAACATCGGCTTCTAACTTAAGGCACTAAGACAGATGTGTAACTTAAGCCCAAACTAAGCAAAGCAAGACAAAATGAAGAGATAAAAAATAGAGTAACAAAAGAACCAAAATATCATACAGTTGGTTATCTGTATTCCCAGATTCTGTATCTGTAGATTTGCCAAGTTGAGGATCAAAAGTTTTCAGAAGAAACAATAAAAAATAATACATCAATAAAAATAATACAAATAAACATAATACAGTACAACAGCAATTTACATAGTATTTACATTGCGTTAGATATTTTAAGTAATCCAGAGATGATTTAAAGTACATGGGAAAATGTGCATAAATTATATGCAAATACTATGCAGTATATAAGATTCATATAAAATAATTATATGCCCTTTTATATGCTACAAGCAACTAAGGATTAAAATTTTATTAAAATACAATATATAATTCTATCCGAATTATTTTAGAAAAATACTTTAAGAAAATTCCCCTAGGCAAATTGGACTTAAGCTGCTTAAGATTATTACAATGAAAACTACAAATTCTTGCTAAGAGAAGATTTAGCTAAAAGGAGAGATGTAACTGCTTTACTGCTCAGAAAACTCAAAGTTGTTAGGATTTCAGTTTTTCCTAAATTGATTTATAAATTAATTGTAATCCCAATCAAAATATTAGTAGACTATCTTATGGAAATTTAAAAGCTGATTCTAAAATTTATATAGAAATGCAGGCTGGGTGCAGTGGCTCACATCTGTAATCCCAATACTTCGGGAGGCCGAATAGGAGGATTGCTTGAGGCCAGGAGTCTGAGACCAGCCTGGGCAACATAGCAAGACTCTGTCTCTACAAATGAAAAATTAAAAAATTAGCTGGGCATGGTGTTGCATACTGTAGTCCTAGCTACTTTGTAGGCTGAGGCAAAAGGATCTCTTGAGCTCAGAAGTTGGAGGCTGCAATGAGCCATGACTGGCCACTGTCCTCCAGCCTGTATGACAGAGTGAGATCCTGTCTCAAAAAAAGGAAAAAAAGAAAAGAAAAGAAGAAAGAAAGAAAAGAAAAAGAAAGAAAGAAAGGAAAGAGGAAAGACAGGAAAGAAAGGAAGAGAAAGGAGGAGAAAGAAAAGAAGAGAAAAGAAAAGAAAATACAAGAGAAATGCAAAGAACCCAGAATACAACAAAATCTTTGAAAAATAATTAAAAGGTTGGAAGCTTAATTGTATATAATTGTAAGGTCTCTTGTAAAGCTATGATAATCATTATTGTGGTACCGGCATAAAGACAGAAAAAAAATGTTCAATGGAACATAATAGAGAATCCAGTTGTATACCTAAACATATATAAACAAATGTTTTTTAAATTTTTATTTTGAAGTAATTATAGACTTCTAGAAAATTGTAAAGACAGCACATAAAGTACTTTGAATCTTTCTCCTAGCTCCCCCAAATTGTGACATCTCATATAACTGTAATGCTATATTTTAAACACAAAATTGGCCTTGATATCATACTGTTAACTAGAACATAGACCTTGTTCTGTTTCAACAGACTTAGACAAATTATTTTTTTACAAACCTACAAGGCAATTCAGTGGAGAAAAATAGTATTGTCAACAACGTTGCAAGAAAAATTGAGTATCCATATACAAAAAAAAAATAAACTTGTACAACATAGTGTCGTGCCACATAAAGACATTTTGGTCAGCCATGGATTGCATACACAATGGTGGTCTCATAAGAATCTAATGGAGCTGAAAAGTTTCCACAACCTAGTGACTGTAGCCATCATAACATCAGTGTGCATCACATACCTCACAGGTTTGTGGTGATGCTCGTGTAAACAAACCTACTGCACTACCAGTTGTTTAAAAATCTAGCACATACAATTATGTACAGTGCATAATACTTGATAATGGTAATACAACTAACTGGTTTATGTATTTACTATACTATATTTTTTTATTATTGTAGACTGCACTCCTTCTCCTTATGACAGGAAAATAACTGTAAAATAATTTCAGGCAGGCACTTTAGCAGATATTCTAGAAGAAGGCATTGTTATCATAGGAGATAATGGCTTCATACATATTATTGGCCCTAAAGACTTTCTAGTGATATTAGAAGTGGAGGTGGTAGACAGTGATATTGATGATCCTGACCCTGTGGAGGCCTAGGCTTATTTGTGTGTTTGTGTCTCAGTTTTTAACAAAAAATGTTGAAATGAAAGCAGAAAAAGTTTAAAAGCAGAAAAAGCTTATACAGTAAGGATATAAAGAAAGATGATATTTTTGTACAGCTGTATAATGTGTTTGCATTTTATACTCAGTTTCATTAGTAGCCTAAGTAAGCCCATGTTTAAAAAGTCTACAGTGATGTACAGTGATGTCCTGTGCCTTTACATTCACTCCTCATTGACTCATTCAGAGCAGCTTCCACTCCTGCAAGCTGCATTCATTATAAGTCCCCTATACAGATGTACCTTTTTTTATATTTTATATCATATTTTTAATGTACCTTTTCTATGTTTAAGTATGTTGAGATACACAAATACTTACCATTGTGTTACAATTGCCTACAGTATTCAGTAGAGTAGCATGCTGTACAGGTTTATAGGAGCAATAGGTTATTCCACATAGCCCAAGTGTGTAGTAACCTACACCACCTAGGTTTGTGTAAATACATTCTATAATGTCCACAGAGTTATGAAATCACCTAATGATGCATTTCTTAATACACATCCCCATCATTAAGTGATGCATGACTGTATAAAAATTAACTTAAAATGGATTAGACTTAAATATAAGCCCAGATTTAAAAAACTTAGGTTCACTAGGTTGTATCTATTTCTTACGTAAAAAGTAGATTTCATAAAAAAAAACCTTTATCAAAATTAAAAATCTCTGCTCTTCAACACTAGTAATAAAAGTGATTAAATAAAAAGACAAGCTTGAGTGGGGAGGAAAATATATGCAAAACCTACATGTGATTAGAACCTTTCATATATAACATATCTTATCCAAAACCTTTACATGTGACAATAAAACAAAATTTAAAAATTCTTAAAAATGAGAAACATATTTGAACAAACACTTTACCAAGGAAATATATGGATGGTATAGCATCTCATAAGAAGATGCTCAATATCATAGTTGTTATGAGAAAAATGAGAAATAAAACCACAATGATATACTTTTACATTTTTTAAAAGTTAAACATATACCTATGTTATAATACATTTATTTCACTTCCAGGTATTTACTCAAGGGAAAACTATACATATATCTATGCAAGGACTTATACATGAGTGTCTATAGAAACTTCATGGTAATAGCCAAACCTGGAAATAATTCAAATGTCCATCAACAAGTTGATTCAAAAAATAGTTTTTGTATATTCAAATAATGAATTCTACTCTTCAAAAAATTATGCTGAGAATAAAAGCTAAACCAAAAGATGTTCATTTTTGTTTAATTCCATTGATATAAATCTCTAAAAATGCGCATTATTTTATAGCCACAGAGCGCACATCAATACTTGCATGTTAAAAAAAGAAACAAAAAGAAGGTGGATGATTACAAATGGGCATACAAAAGCTTCTAGGGGTGATGGATAAGTTCACTATCTTGGTTGCAGTAATGATTTCATCTCATAAGTAAAAACTTAACAACTTATACAATTTATATGTAATGTATATTATTGAATGTTAGTTATACCTCAATTAAGCTGTTATTTACTGCTATTTAATAAATCAATCACTTCTTTGCAGAAAGGTTAACATACATTGCCGTTTGACTTTCTCCAACAAACTTATTTATGCAATTTCTATAACTTACACAAAATAATTAGTATATATGTTAATATCAATTACCCTTACTATGGTTTAAGATTGCTTTAAAGTATTATCAATATATTAAAATAATACATGTTGAACCATAAGTTTTGTTAATATTTTCCTTTTGCATGTTTTAAAAGAGAAAATGAATATTTATTATAGTGGCTTAAGAAGGTATTTTGTAAGAAATCCGTAATAACTATCTTTTGTTACAACTGTGTAATTTCTAGTGTTTAAATGCAATCCTGAATAAATTATTGTCCTATTATTTTATGGTCTACCTTTTAATTTAATAAATGGCATGAAAATACGGTTGCAACAACATCTATTACAAAACACTAACAAGCCAACATGATGATTTCTAGTTTCAGGAGAATATGTTCAATTCTTATAAGTTTAACCTATTAATAGAAGAGTAAGAGTCATTAAATATGCACATTTTTAAAATTTAAAACATTAATTTATTCTTGTTTTTACTTTTATTTTAGGGATATATATGCAGATTTGTTATATAGGTAAATTTTGCATTGCAGGAGTTTGGTGTACAGGTTAATTCATCACCTGGGTAAGCAACATAGTACCCAATAGGTACTTTTTTTATCCTCAACCTCTTTCCTCCACCCACTATCCTCAAGTGGGCCCTGGTGTCTGTTCTCTTCTTTGTATCCATATGTGTTCAATGTTTAGCTTCCACTTATAAGTGAGAACATGCAGTATTTCATTTTCTGTTCATATTTTAGTTTGATTCAATTACTGTTCTCCAGCTCCATCCATGTTGCTGCAAATGACATCATCTCATTATTTTTTATGGCTGCATGGTATTCTTTGGTGTATATGTACACATTTTCTTCATCCAGTCCACCACTGATGTGCATCTAGGTTGATTCTATGTCTTTGCTTTTGGGAATGGTGCAGCAATGAACATATGTGTGCATGAGTCTTTGCGGTAGAACAGTTTATATTCCTCTAGGTATATACCCAATAATGAAATTGGTGGGTTGCATGGTAATTCTGCTATGCTCCTTGAGAAATTTACAAACTTTCCATAATGGCTGAACTAATTTACATTCCCTCCAGTCATGTTTAAGCATTACCTTTTCTTTGCAACCTCACCAGCTTCTGTTATTTTTTTGACTATTTAATAATAGCCATCTGACTGGCGGGAGATGGTATCTCAGTGTGGTTTTGATTTGCATTTCTCTAATGATAAGTTTTGTTGAATTGTTTTTCATGTTTGTTGGCTTCCTGTATGCCTTCTTTTGAAAAGTGTCTGTTCATGTACTTTGAACACTTTTTAATGGGGATATTTGTTTTTTGCTTATAAATTTGTTTAAGTTTCATATAGATTTTGGTTATTAGACCTTTGTTGGATGTATAGCTTGCAAATATTTTCTCCGTTTCTGTGGATCGTCTCTTTACTTTGTTGATAGTTTATTTTTCTGTGCAGAAGTTATTTAATTCAATTAGGTCCTATTTGTTATTTTTTTGTTTTTCTTGAGATTGCTTTTGGCATCTTCATCATGAGATCTTCACCAGTTCCTATGTTCAGAATGGTATTTCATAGGTTTCTTTTAGAGTTTTCATACTTTTAGGTTCTACATTTAAGTCTTTAATTCATCTTTAGTTGATATTTGTATCTGGTATAAAGAAAGGGTCCAGTTTCAATTTTCGGGGAATGGATAGCCAGTTTAACCAGTAGCATCCTTTCCCCATTGCTTGTTTTGGTCAATTTTATCAAAGATCAGATGGTTGCAGGTGTATGGCCTTATTTTCCATCTCTCTGTTTTGTTCCATTGGTCTACGTATCTGTTTTTGTATCAGTAACATGCTGTTTTGGTTATCATAGCCTTGCAGTATATTTTGAAGTTGGGTAATGTGATGCCTCAGCTTTGTTCTTTTTGCTTAGAATTGCCTTTGCTATTTGGGTTCTTTTTTAGTTCCATATGAATTTTAAAATAGTTTTTCTAATTCTGTGAAGAGTGTCACTGGTAGTTTGCTAAAAATAGCATTGAATTTGTAAATTGCTTTGGACAGTATGATCATTTTAACAATATTTACTTTTCCTAACTATGAGCATGGAATGTTTTCCCATTTGTTTCTTTCATGTATGATTTCATACAGCAATGTTTTGTAATTCTTGTTCATGAGATCTTTAACCTCCCTGGTTAGATGTATTCCCAGGTATTTTATTCTTTTTTTTGTTTTTGGTGGCTATTAGTAATGGGATTGTGTTCTTGACTTGACTCTCTGCTTGGATATATTGTTGGTGTATAGAAATGCTACTGATTTTGTGCATTGCTTTTGTATCCTGAAACTTTGCTGAAGTACTTTATCACATCAACTAGCTTATAAGTAGACACCATGAAGTTTTCTAGGTATAGAATCATATTGTCTGCAAATAAGGATAGTTTGGCTTCATTTCTTCCTATTTGGATGTTTTTTATTTCTATTTCTTTCCTGATTGCTCTGGCTGGGACTTTCAGTACTATGTTGAATAGGAGTGGTGAGACAGGATATCACTGTCTTGTTCCAGTTTTCAAGAATGCTGCCAGTTGTTGCCCATTCTGTGTGATATTTGCTGTGAGTTTTCATAGATGACTTATTATTTTGAGGTAGGTTCCACCAATGCCTCATTTGTTGAGGGTATTTACATAAAGCTATGTTATATTTTATTGAAAGCGTTTTCTGCATCTATTGAGATGATCGTGTGGTTTTTGCTATTAGATATGTTTATGTGGTGAATCACATTTATTAACTTGCCTATTTGAAGCAACCTTGCTTCCCAGGAATAAAGCCTACTCAGTCATGGTAGATAAGCTTTTCGACGTGCTGCTGGATTTGGCTTGCCAGTATTTTATTGAGGATCTTTGCATCTATATCCATCAAGAACATTGGCCTGATGTGTTCTTTTCTTGTGTGTCTCTACCATGTTTTGGTATCAGGATGATGCTGGCCTCATGGAATGAGTTAGGGAGCAGTCCTTTCTTCTCACATTTTGGAGGAGTCTCAGTAGAAATGATATCAGCTCTTCTCTATATGTCTGGTAGAATTTGCCTGTGAATCTGTCTGGTCCTGGACTTTTCTGGTTGATAGGCTTTTTATTACTGATTCGATTTCAGAATGCATTAATAGTGTGTTCAAGGTTTCTGTTCTTCCTGGTTCAATCTTAGGAGGTTATATGTTTCTAATAATTTATCAATTCCTTCTATATTTTCTAGTTTGTTTGCATAGAGGTCTTCATAATAGTCTCTAAGAGTTTTTTTTTTTAATTTCTACTGAATCAGGTATACTCTTTATCATTTCTGATTGTTTTTATTTGTATCTTCTCTCTTTTATATTAGTTTAGTGAAGTGGTATATCAATCTTATTCATTCTTTCAAAAAACCAACTCCTAGAAACATTTTTTATGGTTTTTCTCATGACAATTTTCTTTAATTCAGCTCTAATTTTGGTTATTTCTTGTCTTTTGCTGACTTTGGGGTTGGGTTGCTCTTGTTTCTCTAGTTCCTCTAGTTGTTATGTTGAGTTGTTAATTGTCTCTCTAACTTTTTGATGTGGTTGTTTTGGATTATAAACTTTTCTTCTAATATTGCTTTATCTGTGCTCAAAGATTATGATATATTATATCTTTGTTCTCATTAGTGTCAAAGAATGTCTTGATTTCTGCCTTAATTTCATTATTTACCTAGAAGTCATTCAGAAACAGGTGGTTTAGTTTCCTTGTAATTGTGTGGTTTTAAGAGACATTTGTAGCTTTGATTTCTATTTGTATTGCACTGTGGTCTGAGGGTGTGGTTGGTATGATTTCAGTTTCTTTGAATTTGATGAGGAATGTTTCATGTCTGACCATGTGGTTGATAATGGAGTATGTGCCATGTGAAGAATAGAAGAATGTACATTCTCTTGTTTTGGGTGGAGAGTTCTTCAGATGTCTATTAGATCCATTTTGTTGAAGGTTGAGTTCAGGTCCCAAATACCTCTTTTAGTTTTCTGCCTTGACGATCTATCTAACACTTTTAGTAGGGTATTGAAGTCTCCCTGAATTATTGTATGGTTATCTAAGTCTCTTAGACTTGCTTTATTAATCCAGGAACTTGTTTTATTAATCTGGGTGATCCTGTGTTGGATGTTTCTATATTTATTATAGTTAAGTCTTGTTGAAGTGAGCCCTTTACTGTTATGTAATGACCTCCTTTGTGTTTTTTATCATTGTTTAAAGTCCATTTTTTTTTTCTGAATTAGAGTATCAACCCCTGCTTTTTTTCTGTTTGCCATTTGCTTGGTAGATTTTTCTCCATCCCTTTACTTTGAGCCTATTGGTGTCATTGCATTTAAGATGGATTTCTTGGAGATGGCATACAGCATACAGATTTTGCTTCTTTCTTCAACTGGACACTCTGTGCCTTTTAATTGGGGGCATTTAGCCCTCTTACATTCATGGTTACTATTCATATGTGCAGATTTGATCCTGTCATCCTGTTGTTAGTTGGTATTAGACAGACGTAATTGTGTGGTTGCTTTATAGTGTCACTGGTCTATGTACTTAAGTGTGTTTTTTTTGTGGTAGCTACTAACAGCTTTTTATTTCCATGTTTAGCACTCCATTCAGGACCTCCCATAAGGCAGGTCTGGTGGTAATGAATTCCCTTTGCATTTGTTTGTCTGAAAAGGATCTTATTTCTCTTTCAGTTTTGAAGTTTAGTTTGGCTGGATATGAAATTCTTGTTTGGAAATTATTTTCTTTAAAAATGCTGAATATAGGCCCCCCAGTCCCTTCTGGCCTATAGTGTTTCTGCTGAAAGGTTTGCTGTTAGCCAAATGAGGTTCCCTTTGTTGGTGATCTGCTCCTTCTCTCTAGCTTTTAAATGTTTTTCTTTTACTTTTTTTTCTTTCATCTTCACATTGGAGAACCTGATAATTATTTGTCTTGAGGGTGGTCTTCTTTTGAAGCATTTTGCAGAGGTTCTATGCATTTCCTGAATTTGAACGTTGTCCTTTCTAGCGAGGTTGAGGGAATATCATGGCCAATATCCTGAAATATCCTTTCCAAATTGCTTGCTTTCTCCCCCATTCTTTCAGGGATGTCAGTGAGTAATATATTTGGTATCTTTACATTATGCCATTTTTCTCAAAAGTTTTGTTCACTACTTTATAGTTTTCTTAATTTATTTTTGTTTGACAGAGTTATTTCAGAGAGGCAGTCTTTGAACTCTGAGATTCTGTCCTCAGCTTGTCCAATTCTACTGATAATACCTGCGATCGTATTCAAAAATTATTGAGGTAACTTCTCAGTTCTACCAGAACAGAATTGTTCTTTTTTAAAAAATAACCATTTCATCTTTTGTCTCCTGTATTATTTAATTGGATTTCGTAAAATCCTTGACTTGGTTTTTGCTTTTCTCCTGAATTTTGATAATCTTTATTCCTATTCATACTCTGAATTTTATTTCTATCATTTGAAGCATTTCAGCCTGATTAAGAACCATTACTGTGAAACTAGTGTGGTCTTTTGAAGGTGAGGAGACACTCTGGCTTCCTGAATTGATAGTGTTCTTTCTCTGGATCTTTCTCATCTTCATGGCCTGATGCTCCTGCACTCTTTAAGGTGCTTGGCTGAAGCACCTTACATTCAAGATTTGTGCAGATTTCATCCTGTCATGATGTTGTTAGCTGGTTATTTTGCAGACATAATTGTGTGGTTGCTTTATAGTGTCACTGGTCTTTTACATAAGTGTTTTTTGTTTGTTTGTTTGTTTGTTTTTTGTTTTTGTGGTGGCTAGTAACAGTCTTTTATTTCCACGTCAAAAATACATCCTTTTGATGTCTTTGGGGGTTTGATTGTGGTATAGGGTGAGTTCAGTCACCTGGCTTCATTTCTGGAAGATTTTAGACGGCAAAGGCTCAGCTTAGGATTCTTGGGCTGCATGCTCTAATTCTGGGGGTTGGTACCAAGACTTTGGCTTTGTTAAAAATCACTGGCCACTTTAAGATAGAAACCTGCTATGCTGCAGAGGCCAAGCTGTTCCCAGACCACTGGTCACAATACGCCGATAGGTAGTGCCAGCCAAAGTACTTCATTAGGTGGTGACAGCAGGATCCATGCTCATTAGCACATGCCAGCCGAGCTGGCAGTGTGGCAGGGTGTATGCTCATTGGCTGACAGCATGCTATTAGACACAGGGCTGCCAGCCTCCATGCAGGCATTTACAGCAGTGGCAGTGGTGGTGTGGTGCAGGCAATGCAGGACTTCCCAAGTCTGTGTGCACATTTATGACAGCAGCAGTGTTGGCACAGCGGCAGGGCACTGGCAGGTGCAGGGCTGGTACCCTTAGCATGCACATTCCTGCTGGCAGCAGTAGCAGTGCCGCAAATAATTACATCTTCATAATTTATTAATTTATTCATAGGTCATAGTTTTAAAATATTGTACCCAAGATAATACCATGAAGAATGAAATTAAATTGTATAAAGAATTCATATATTCTAAACAAAAACAATAAAGATGCTGCCTTTTTTTAACTAGGCTATAAAAATGGTATGAAATGTATAGATACATTGTCAAAAAGTGTAATTTACAAATTTAAAAAAAAGTTTCCAAAAGAAAAAATAATACACTGATTTACATAAATGCAACACAGAGGCACACAAACATGTTCACACACACCTTCCTACCACAGCAATTAATTTTATAGAAATTAACATAAAAATAAAATTATAATATACACATAAAAACACATTGCAGAACCCCGTCTCTACTAAAAATACAAAAAAATTAGCCGGGCCTGCTGGCGGGCGCCTGTAGTCCCAGCTACTCGGGACGCTGAGGCAGGAGAATGGCGAGAACCTGTGAGGCGGAGCTTGCCGTGAGCCGAAGTCGCGCCACTGCACTCCAGCCTGGGCGACAGCGAGACTCCGTCTCAAAAAAAAAAAAAAAAATTGCAGGATATTCAGCTTCTGTCATGCCATAATAAAGGATAACTATTTTCATTTTGCATGTTTTCCAAGTTATTCCCTAGGTTATATACATACATTGAACACTCTGTTAATTTAATCTTTTGTATGTTTGTTCTATAATAGGCTGAACAAAAATAACTTTTTAAAGGGGCATTGGGCAGCTCTGTGTTGATAATTAACATCTTTAATGATGCTTAAATAGAATATAATAATTTTATTTCTTTCCTTCTATATATCGTGTTCGTTTCTTCTAAGACTTATCATTGCCGTCCTCATCTAACAATTTCATTTTCATGATTCCAAATATGTTTATATCCTGACTTATTTATTATTGCAATATTTTAACTTATTTATAACATACTCAATGCCATTATATTTAGGCCACCAAAATCCTAATGTTTATTATCAAAAATTATGCAACAGGAGTGCAGTATGTCAGGAATATTTGGAAAAAGAGAAAAAATTGTATAATGTGAAATATCAACAAAATATTGTTTGTGTTTGTGGATATGTTTTAAATTTAACTTTGATAATTTATTTTTAATTTCTTCAAAAGTGTGAGTATAATAATGGTTGCTTGAAATTTATACAGATATTTTATTTTGTTCTTAGTGTTGGGTCTTTATTAAAACTCAACAACTCTTTGACATGTTTTAATAACAATAATAAAACTTAAAGAATAATTTTCTTGAATACAAGGCAAAATGTATGCACGAGCAATTAAGGTTTATATTAAAAATAGAGTGAATGGATAATTTTAAGAGAATACTTAAGGAAAAATAAACCGGTTATGTAACTTTGTCAATTCTGCACTGGACTTCTTGATCCTTGATACCATATATGTGCTGACTGGTATTTGTTGAAGAATATAAAATATAAGACTTCTGTATAATGACTGAGTCAATCTTATTAGAGCATCATCTGCTAGGACCCAGAAACTAAGCAACAGAAATAAAATAAAATTATTTAATTGACATGTATTTTACATTATCTGATACGCAATCTGAATCTCATATTGAGATACCATATGTGTGGCATTTTCTACTTTTTGGTCCTCTCATAAAGTATTCTGAACACTCAGCAAAATATCAGGATTCTGTGAAAGATTGTCAGCTGTAAGAAAATGCATTTCTGTAGCATTCACATTCCCTTGGGGGAAAAGTAATCATCTGATTCACATTACGTATATTTGTAACCAATGCTAGTGTGAGAAGTTCTACTAATGAAGATTATTATTAACACCCTGTATATGAGTCAGAAACCAAGTTGACTGATAGAATATTTTTCCTAAGTCCACAACTGTCTGATGTTTAACAGTACGTTATACCAAGTTTGAATATGTTGCTTTAGATGTTTGAAATAAAATTCTTCATCAGTTAGAACACTTTATATCTTTTAGTCTTTGGTATATATAGGACAAGTGTACATTTTAACTTAGAGCTTCTAAACCTAAATATTTTGATGAAAAATTTCTGTTTGAAATCAGCTCATTTTGGTTTTCACCAGCCTGCACTGTCTGCCTTTCCACTCTGTGAAAGCTTTGTCCCTTTTCCTCTCTTTCTTCCATTTCTGAGTGTCCTGGAGTAGTCCCTAGTTCATAAGTGTCTTTACATGGTCCCACAGGAATTATTTAATCCAATTATTAAAGTGATTTAACATCACATTTTAAAAACAATAGAGGCAACTTAGGCAAATAAGTGAGGGGCCTGGTTCCTGGCCAAGATGCTACATGTGATTTTCAGGCTCAATCATAGGAAATTATGCTAGGTTTACTGGCAGATCTTACATAGAGCAAAACTGCCCTCCGCACGCCATATTTTGTTCACAGGTTTTGCAAGGCAGTGTCTGAAGGGAGTTTCAGGCAAGGACTCTGGGGCCCCTGGAGCCCAGGCTCTTATGCCTGTCTGCATTCTGCATTCCTTCTCTGGAGATATCTGCAGAATCTTCCTTATGGGGGAGAGGGGTGGAATAAAGACCCGTAAGACACTTTTCTCTACTCTGACTCACTGCTCAGTACTTTTCTAGTCCCAGCCCTCTCCTCTCTGCTTCTCCATGGCCACCAGAGCTCCACATCTGTGCTGATCCACCTGACCTTGCTTCACAGGGTAAAATGGAACAGCGGGGACATCAGCACTTTCTTTGATTTAGCCTCTTGCTTATGGAATCAGAGTAAGAGATAAAGACTTGCTTGTTACTTTGGTTTTGGTTTGTTGTTTCAATTAACTAATCATACAATAGGCAGCTTAGTTCTCCTCAGCACAGCTCAGCTCTTGACAAAGGGATTGAAAAAAGCAGACTGGCAGAAATAAAATATTTAACAACCACCACAAAGAAAAAATAGTTAAAATTTAAAAGTATGAGAAAGCTGAAATTTATGGAAATCAGATTTTTAAACTGATGCTAAAATTTTCCAGGATAGGCTCTCTTTCATACTTACTTAAAAAAAATTAACTAAGTATTATCATTAACTTCATGTTTTTCTTTGAGATTATTGTATATTTGCATGTAGTTGTAAGAAAAAATACAGAGAGATATGGTGTACTATTACCCAGTTTTTCAGTGTTCACATCCTGCAAAACTATGGTAAAGTATTAAAATATATTGATATAGTCAAGATACAGGAATATTTTCATTATGATAAGGATTCTTCATATTACTTTTGTATAACTTCACTTACTTTTCTCCAGATTCTATCTCCTTTTTCACCCTGGAAACCATCTCAATTTCTATAATTTTTTATAACATTGCCTGGAAGGAGAAAGATCTAGTTATGTTAACAGAGATTCTTTACAGATTCAAATTTTCCCCCACAAAAGATATCTTTGCAAAGCCATTTCAAAATACAGCAAAGAAACATATTTTGGGGTGAAAAAATTGATGTCCTTCTTTATCTGTTGTCTTATGCCGGAGTCAGGTTGGAAAGAAAACCACATTATTTAGGGCTAAATAAAACTCATCTAATGAGATTTTGTGGTTTGTAGGATGTGACTCTCCAGAATCTTTAGGTAGGAATTTGAGCAAGAGATAAAAAAGATCATATTTCAGTGTTCAGTCAAGAATGCAAACTCTTACCACTTCTATTTAACTTGGAAGTACTAGCAAGATTAATCAGATCAGAAAAAAAATAATAAGTATCTAATCAGAAAGGAGGAAGTTAAATTACCTTTATTTGCAGATGATATAATCCTATATGTAGACAACTCCAAATACTCCACCAAAAAAACTGATAGAACTAATGAATCAATCCAGTAATGTTAAAGGATACAAAATCAACATACAAAAATCCATGACATTTCTATAAAAAAAATTGACCTGGCAGAAAAAGAAATGAGGAAAACAATAACAAAAAAAAAAACTTGGGAATAATTTTAACCAAGGAGATAAAATACCTGTACATTGAAAATTGTGAAACATTAATGAAAGAAATTGAATAGGCCATAAATAAGTGATAGTATATTCCATCCTAGTAGATCAGAAGAATCAATACTGTTACAATGTCCTTTTTACCTAAAATATGTACAAACATAATGCAATGCCCATCAAATTCCCAAAAGCATTCCCTACAGAAATAGAAACAAAATCCTAAAATTTATTTGGAACCACAAAAGATCCCAAATAGCTAAAGCAATACTGAGAAAATAAAACAAGGTTAGAAGCATCACACTTTCTGATTTAAAATTATATCATAACACTATAGTAACCAGTACAATAAAATAGTATGGTACTGGCATTAAAAAAAATACACCAGTAGAGCAGAATAGAGACCAGAAATAAATTTAAACATACATAGTCAGCTAATTTTCAACAAGGACACCAAAAAGACACAATGAGAAAAGGATAATCTCTTTAATACATGGTGTTGAGAAAACTGAATTTCTGCATGCAAAAGAACCCCTACTTTACATCATACACAAAACTTAAAATGGATAAGAGACCTGAAACTTTAAAACTTCTAGGTGAAAACATAAAGGGAAGGCTTCTTGACGGTGGCTTTTGCAATGATTTCTTGAATATCAAGAAATATTTTATAGCTCGGGCTACAAAAGCAAAAATAAATAAATGGGAATATATCACATTAAAAAGCTTCTGCATAGCAAAGTAAATAATCAATAAAATTAAAATGCAACCTAGTCACTGGGAAAAATATTTGTCTACCACATATCTCATAAGGAGTTAATATTCAAAACTTTTAAAGAATTTGTACACATCAATAGGAAAGAAACACATAATCCAACTTAAAAATGGGCTAAAGACCTAAATAGATATTTCAAAGAAGACATAAAAAGCCAAGAAGTATATTAAAAAGGTGCTTAATATCACTAATTATAAGGGAAATGCAAATTAAATCACTATGAAATATCTCTGACACCCATTAGAGTAGCCGTTATCAAAAAGAAAAGAGATATGAGCTGACGAGGGTGTGGAGAAAGGGGAACTTTCATATACTCTTGGTAGGAATACAAATTGGTGTAGCATTATGGAAAACAGTAAGGAGTTCCTAAGGAAATCAAAAATTGAATTATCTTCTGCCCTAGCAATCCCTCTTCTGAGTATACCCAAATAAGTCAAATCACCACCTCCTAAAGAAATGTGTACATGTTTATTGTAGCACTATTCATAATAACTAAGGTATGGAGACAACATAGGTGTCTCACAATAAACAAATGGGCAAAGAAACAGGGGTGTATGTATGTATATGTGTATATATACACATACATACACACACCCACACAATGGAATATTATTAAACCTTTAAAAAAGGGGAGATACTGTCATTTGCCACAACATGGACAGACCTAGAGGACATTATGCTAAATGAAATAAGCCAGACACAGAAAGAAAAGCGTTGCATGATCTCATATACACGTGGGATCTTCAATAACAAAAAACATCAAATATACAGAGATAGAGAATCAAACAGTTGTTATCAGAATTTGTGGGGTGGGAGAAGAAATGGGGAAATGTAGGTAAAAGGATACAAAGTAGCAGATCTGTAGGATGAGCAACTCTAAACATCTAATGTGCAACATGAGGACTATAATTAATAATAGTGTATTATATTCAGAATTTCACCCAGATGATTAGAAAATAGCTACATTTCCCATGGGGCTTGGTGGGGGGAACATGGTAACTATGAGATAATGGATATGTTACTTTATTTCACTAGAGTAAATGTTTTATTATATATGTATCCCATAACATCATTTTGTACACCTTAAATATACACAAATTCATTTTTAAATAAAATAAAAATTAAAAATAAAAAAGTCATTGTCAGATAATTCTAACAAGCCTTTCATTTTGTTGGCAACTATTGTCTTTTTTTGCATTCAGTTTGAGA